>NC_000001.11:248305333-248456848 GCF_000001405.40 Homo sapiens
CCAAGAAGTCCTGGAATACAGAAATGGCTTCCTCCTTCACTATTTCTCAAGAAGAATTGCAGGCTATTTGCTTCAGATTGTCCTGGAATTACATTCTCAATTTGTAATAACTGGTTATGTACTGGTTGTAGCACACAATTAAAATCACACTAACTTCCTCTGCATTGTCATTCTAGTTTTATTTACACAACGAGCGAAGGATATGTTTTAGAATATCCCCCTTTAATCCTTTTCAAACATATTAAAATAAGGAGCCAAAACTGTATTAATATAGGTAGCAAAGGTCCACATTAAGTGGTGCTGAGATCGGGGAAATGTCCCAAACCAGTTGCTAGGGCCTGAGAGTGGTTGCCATTGTCAAAAGCTTGCAAAAACCTGTATTCACCGAGGGATCCTGGCATTGTGTCAGGACAAAATTGGGACCCTTTGCAATAAGTCAGCAGGAATAAGGCAACGGCAAATGCAGAATGTGTGAGTCATGAAACGTAAGAGCCAGCGCCAGAGCGTCACATTATTTCCCCAAGCGTGAACTTCACAAATGCCTCATCCTGTTCTGCCAGTTTTGTGTTTGATTTCTTCATGCTCCTCTCGAATTTTCTCATCACATTCTTTCAGAAAACGTTCACAGACCTACTCATCCTGCCCTAGAGTAGACAAGGCCTGTCTTTATTTAATGGTGAGGATGTTATAGATGAAGTCCTTTGAGGAGAAATGCATGTGACCGTGCATCAGAAGTACGAGGTGGATCTGTCGGTTGGAAACTAGTTTCTAAAACGCCTTCTGTTCCGCATGCGTTTATTCTCTTCTTCTGCACAGAATTTGCTCCGTGGTGAGCCTGGAGATGTCTCTGGATGGGGACAGCTCCATTCCCAGCTACTTCTGCGGGGCTGGTGGCGCAGAGATGGGCGCAAAGGCTGAAAGTCGCAAGTCCTGTGCTTCTGGAGTTCAAATGCTTCCTTTCCAGCGGGTCTCCTTGCGCCATGGGGCCGTGCTGGGGTGAATCTGGGGAAAACAACAGGAGAGGGAGGCCAGGGAACGCAGGGATGGAGGGAGCCTAACCACGGACTCAGACGGAGCCAGGCGGGTCGCGGGTGCTGGAGCCGCCTGAGGACTGGAACCCCCTGAGGACAGGAGCCGCCTGAGGACTGGAGCCCCCTGAGGACTGGAGCCGCCCTGAGGACTGGAGCCGCCTGAGGACTGGAGCCGCCCTGAGGACTGGAGCCGCCCTGAGGACTGGAGCCGCCTGAGGACTGGAACCCCCTGAGGACTGGAGCCCCCTGAGGACTGGAGCCGCCTGAGGACAGGAGCCGCCTGAGGACTGGAGCCCCCTGAGGACTGGAGCCGCCCTGAGGACTGGAGCCGCCTGAGGACTGGAGCCGCCTGAGGACTGGAACCCCCTGAGGACTGGAGCCCCCTGAGGACTGGAGCCGCCTGAGGACTGGAGCTCCCTGAGGACTGGAGCCGCCTGAGGACTGGAACCCCCTGAGGACTGGAGCCCCCTGAGGACTGGAGCCGCCTGAGGACTGGAGCCGCCTGAGGACTGGAACCCCCTGAGGACTGGAGCCGCCTGAGGACTGGAGCCGCCTGAGGACTGGAGCCGCCGCGATTGCATCCACTGCAGGGACAGTGGCCAGGGCCGGCCCCGAGGCCTAATCAGGAGGGGCAGCACGACACGGGGCTCTTTATGTCTTTAATGTCTGTATTTATAAATAAAAAGTACGTTTTTGTAAGATTTGCTCTTTCTTTCAGAAATCTCGGTGGACTTCTTCCATGTTGAAATATGTAGCCACATGTAGCTGTACTTTTTTCAATTTTAGTAAATTACAACCTATTTCTTCTTTTGTTGGAAAATTAAAAGCAATGCTATTTCTTGGGTTCATGTTTTCCTTCAAATATATGCTCAAGTCTATCCAGAACATAAATGAAAGGTGGAATTATGGTGAAAAAGAACTTTCATGTATGAATTTTACAAAATTTCCAAATTTCTCTCCAACTGTAATAATTTACATTGTCAACAGGAAGATATTTAAATTTCTTTTGCTCTTTATGCTTAACCAAATGAAGCTATTGATACACTTTTGAATTTTTTGGTCTACCACCTGAATATTGTTACCACATAATAAAGTGTACCCAATTAAATTTGAATTTAAGATGAACAATGAACATAATATTCTGTTCAGTGTGGATTTGCAGGAAACTTGTACTAATAAATTTTTGTTATTTATCTGATATTCAAATTTTATATTGTCCTGTGTCTTGATTTGCTTAATTTGACCATCTAGCAAACCTGACTCTGGATGTCAACTACTCAAGAATAATTGTTAGTGTTTTCTCAGTTGTTTTCTGTTTTATCATAAGGACCTAAAACAGGGACTTGGCACATCTTTTGGGTATATAATGTTTACTGACATTGTTGTAAGTAATTGTACCTTTATAATTTTAATTTATTTGTTGACATAAAAAACAAAACTGCAGTTATTACATTGATTTTGTATCTAGCAACATTACTAAATTTAATTGATAATTTTATTATCTTTAACAGTATTTTTTTTGCATCTTACTAGAAATTCAAACCCAGATCAACTGGTGGTCTTCAATTTTCCAAATTCTAGTGGCTAAAATGTAAACTGCTTCTTTGTAATATGGAAAGTGTAATTTTTATTTTATATCAAACAAGCCCTTTTTTCAGGTATTATGTAGTTTTAAGGCTTTTTTGGAAACATTCTCAAAGTTATTCCAAAGTTGCAATAACAACACAAATTTTTCTCCTCAGAATCATTTGAGATTTAAACCAGCACTCTTTAATATCTTAGTGGCTTTCCTACAAATAGCGATTTTTCTCCTACATAAACAAATAAAACTGCCCAAATAATGAAGTTACCATGGATACATTACTCCCATCTAGTCTACAGACCCTACTAAAATTTTGCCAAATATCCCAATAATACCTTTCATATAGCAAAAGAATCAAAGTCAGATGATGAGTTGCCTTTCTTAGTTATGCCTCTTAAATGTTCTTTACTCAGGAAAAGTACCTGAGTCTTTCTTTATTGAGATACTGTTTTTTAGTTTTTTATTTTGTTTTAATTTCTGTAAAATATACATAACATAGAAGAATCTTAATTATTTTCAAGTGTACAGTTCAGTAATGTGACGTACATTCACATGGCTGTACAACCAATCTCCAGATATTTTTCATTTTCTACAGCATGGGTCTCCAACCCCCCAAGCCACAGAGGTGTGCTGGTCCATGGCCTGTTAGGAACCAGGCCGCACAGCAGGAAGTCAGCAGAAAGTGAGCATTGCCGCCTGCCCTCTGCCTCCTGTCAGATCAATAGCAGCATTAGACTCTCATAGGAGACTGAACCCTATTATGAACTGTGCATGATCAGGATCTAGGTTCTGGGATCCTTATGAGAAGGTAACTAATGCCTGATGATCTAAGGTGAAACAATTTCATCCCAAAACTGTTTCCCCACAACCCCTGCCCAATCAGTGGAAAAATGTCTTCCATGAAACCACTCTCTGGTGCCAAAAAGGTTGGGGACTGCTGGTACTTGGCATTAAACTGTACCCGCTGAACAAAAACTACACGATTACTTTCTTTCCTTAGCCTTTGGCAACCACCATTCTACTATCTGTTGTTATAAATTCGAGGTTCTCTAGAGGTATCTCATCTAAGTGAAATCATACAGAATTTAACCTTTTGTGACTGGCTTATCCCACTTAGGATAATAGCCTCAAAGTTTATCCATGTATATACGTGTATGTATCACAATTTCATTTTTAAGGCTGACATTATTCCACTGTATGCATATACCATATTTTGTTTATCCATTAATTTTTTGATGAACACTTGGGCTGTTTCCACCTTTTGGCTATTGAAAATAACGTTGCCATAAACATGAGTGTACAAATATCTTTTTAAATCCCTCTTTACAAATTTTTGGAGTATACCCCAGAAGTGAAATTGTTGGATCGTATGAAAATTCTGTAATATTTTTAACTTTTTAAGTATAGTATTTTTAACTTTTCATACACCAGTTTGCCATTTGTGTGTCTTCTTTGGAGAAAGCCTATTCCAATCTTTTGCCCATTTTAAAAATGAATTGTTAGACTTTTTCTAATTGTCTAATAATTATTAGACAATTAGAGTTGTTTGAGCCCCTTATATATTCTGAGTACTAATTTCTTGTTAGATGGGTGGTTTTAAAATATTTTCTCCCAGGCATGTGGATTGTCTCTTTACTTTGTTGATTGTTTTCTTTGTTCTGCAGATGCTTTTTAACTTAATTTGATTCCATTTGTCCACCTTTGCTTTGATTGCCTGTTCCTGCAGTGAATTGCTCAAGAAATCTTTGCCTAGTCCAATGTCCTGGAGCATTTCCTGAATGTTTTCTGTTAGTAGTTTCATAGTTTGAGGTTGTAGATTAAAGTATTTAAAACAATTTTATTTTTGTATAAGCCAAGAAATAGTTGTCTAGTTTCATTTTTCTTCATAAGGATATTCAGTTTTCCCAGCACCATTTCATAGAACAGACTGAATATTCCCAATATATGTTCTTGGCATCTTTGTCAAAAATGAGTTCCCTGTATGGATTCGTTTCTTGGTAATCTCTTCCATTCCATTAGTCTATGTGTTTGTTTTTAACATCAGTATCATGTTGTTTTGGTTACTATTGTTCCTTAGTATAATTTTAACTCAGGCACTATGATTCCTTCAGTTTTTTTCTTTTTGCTCAAAATTGCTTTAGGTATTCTAGGTCTTTTAGGATTCCATATGCACTTTAGAATTTTTTTATTTTTTTGAAGAATGTTATTGGTATTTTGATAGAGATGAGTTTGAATCTGTAAATTGCTTTGGGTAGCATGGACATTTTAACAGTATTGATTCTTCAAATCCATCAACAAGGAATATTTTTACTTTTTTGTGTCATACTCAATTTATTGAACCAATGTTTTACTGTTATTATTGTAGAAGTATATCTGTTTTAATGATTGATGTTGGTCAGTTGTACCTGAATTCCAAAGGGAGAAGGCTATAAGCGATGAGGCATGTTCAGCCTCCACCCTCTTTCCATTACAGCCTGAACTACAATGTAAGGTTTACTTTGGAATGTCTTTGGCTGAGAGGAAGATTCGTCAGTCAGCTGGAGGCTTAGATTTTTATTTTTGGTTTACACTCTTCTTTTAAACCATACTTAGGTTGGACCACTTGTAGTTTGAAAGATAAAAACTGAAGAGACAGGCTTTAGTGAAAGAAAAGTTACCTTTATTTGAGAAGCCAACAACCTAGAGGAGCCATTAAACTAGCATTCAAACACTGCCTTTCTGAGTTGTGCCTCTGGTTCAGGAGTTTTAGGAGAAATTAGGGGAAATGATAAAGACATTATTGTAAAATGTGTACAGTCTCAAAAAGGCAGCTAATTATTGCTTTCTTGTCAATGCTTTCTGACCTTCCGTAGGCACCTTCAAGTTATTCTTATTTGGCTGGCTGGCCCATTTTTAGTGTTGCTGGTTGATGTATTTTCTTTTATCTCTGTTGAATGTCATGTTTTCCTGAGGCTGTTTTTAGTGAATAACTTCTAAACTCAAGCAAAGCAATAATTGACTTTTCACAAGCAATAATTGAGTTTTGCATGACTTTTGCTAATAGTAACACACAGGTTACTATTTGCACTTGATCCTCTCCTCTCCTATAGAGGTAAGACTAGGTGCTCTAGCAGTTCTCTATCTCATACCCCGCGAGCAATATTCAACTATCAACCCCTCAACCATGCTTTCTCAGAAAACTCCATTTAAAATTCTCAGAAAACTCCATTTAAAATTTCAAAACATAATGAGTTTTGTTTTCCTATCATTTTATTTTTACAGTATTTTCACCTCCTAATATTCCATACAATTTACTTGTGCAACTTGATTTTTTGTACTTTGCTAGAGAAATATACTTAAAAACAAACTATTCTTGAAACCCAAAAAACCTCTTCATAAATTTAGAAGAAAAAGAAAACAATTTAATTTTTGAGTAAGTATTATAGGAAAATGTAATATGCATCACAGGCAACTCACCAAAGGGCTTACAAAGATAGAATGAAATCTGACTCTTTTTGATAGCTAACTCAATATAACCCACTTCATACTTTAAATAGGTTTTATAATGTGGAGTTGGATGACAGCAGAAGTTAGACCAATGGTTCTTCCTATAACCTGAAAGATGGGGTTGTTACCTTCCTTTATTATATTTCTTGACTTTTTAATAATCGCCATTCTGACTGGTGTGAGATGGTGTCTCATTGTTGTGATTTGCATTTCTCTAATAATCAGTGATAATAAGCTTTTTTACATATTTTTTTGCATGCATAAATGTTTTCTTTTGAGAAGTGTTTGTTCATATCCTTTACCCACTTTTTGATGAAGTTGTTTGTTTTTGTCTTTTAAATTTAAGTTCCTTGTAGATTCTGGATATTAGACCTTTGTCAGATGGGTTGATTACAAATTTTTCTCCCATTCTGTAGGTTGCTTGTTCACTCTGATGCTAGTTTATTTTGTTGTGCAGAAGCTCTTCAGTTTAATTAGATCCCATTTGTCAAATTTTGGGTTTGTTGCAATTGCTTTTGGTGTTTTTGTCTAGAAGTCTTTGCCCATCTGTGTGTCCTAAATGGTATTGCTTAGGTTTTCTTCGAGTAAATTTATGGTTTTGGGTTTTATATTTAAGTCTTTAATCCATCTTGTGTTAGTTTTTGTATAAGGTGTAAGGTGGGGGTCTACTTTCAGTTTTCTGCACATGGCTAGCCAGTTTTCCCAGCAATATTTATTAGAAAGGGAATAATTTCCCTATTGATTGTTTTTGTCAGATTTGTCAAAAATTAGATGGCTGTAGATATATGGTGTTATTTTTGAGGTCTCTGTTCTGTTCCATTGGTTTATATGTCTGTTTTGTTATTAGCACCATACTGTTTTGGTTACTGTAGCCTTGTAGTATAGTTTGAATTCAGGTAGCATAATGCCTTCAGCTTTGTTCTTTTTGTTTAGAATTGTCTTGGCTATATGGGCTACTTTTTGGTTCCATATAAAATGTAAGGAAATATTTTCTAATACTGTGAACAATGTCAATGGTAGTTTGAAGGGAATAGCATTAAATCTATAAATTACTCTGGGAAGTATGGCCATTTTCATGATATTGATTCTTCCTATCCATAAGGATGGAATGTTTTTCCATTTCTTTGTGTCCTCTCTTATTTCCTTGAGCAGTAGTTTGTAGTTCTCGAGAGGTCCTTCATATCCCTTGTTAGCTCTTTTCCTAGGTATTTTATTCTCTTTGTAGCAATTGAGAATGGAGTTAATTCATGAGTTGGCTCTCTGCTTGACTATTCTTGGTGCACAGGAATGTTTGTGTTTTTTGCACATTAATTTTGTATCCTGAGACTTTGCTGAACTTACTTATCAGCATACGGAGTTTTTGGCCTGAGATGATGAGGTTTTCTAAATATAGAATCATGTCATCTGCAAAAATACAATTTGACTTTCTCTCTTTTTATTTAAATATGCTTTTAAAAATATATTCCCTGATTGCCCTGACCAGAACTTCCAGTACTGAATAGGAGTGGTGAGAGAGGTCATCCTTGTATTGTGCTGGTTTTCGAAGGGAATGCTTCCAGCTTTTGTGATTCAGTATAGTATTGCCTAAGGGTTTGTCACAAATAGCACTTATAATTTTGAATATGTTTTATCAATACCAAGTTTATTAAGAGTTTTTAACATAAAGGAATGTTGAATTGTATCGAAGAAATTTTATGCATCTATTGAGATAATAATGTGGTTTTTGTCCTTGGTTCTGTTTATGTGATGGGTTACATTTATTGATTTGCACATATTGAACCAGCCTTGCATCCCAGAGATGAAGCCAACTCTATTGCAGTGTATAACCTTTTGATGTGCTGCTGGATTCAGTTTGTTAGTATTTTATTGAGGATTTTGACATCAATGTTCATCTGAGATACTGGCTTGAAGTTTTACTGGCTTGAAGTTTTCTTTTATTGTTTTGTCTCTGCCAGGTTGTGTTAGCAAGATGATGCTGACCTCATAAAATGAGTTAGGAAGGAGTCCCTCCTTTTCAATTCTTTGGAATAGTTTCAGAAGGAATGGTACCAGCTCCTATTTATACCACTGGTAGAATTTGGCTGTGAATCCTTCTGGTTCTGGGCTTTTTTTTTTGGTTGGTAGGCTATTAATTACTGCCTCAATTTCAGAACTTCTTATTGGTTTCTTCAGGGATTTGACTTCTTCCTGGTTTAGTCTTGGGAGAATGTATGTGTCCAGGAATTTACCCATTTTCTCATAGGTTTTCTAGTTTATTTTCATAGAAGCATTTATAGTATTCTCTGATGGTAGTTTGTATATCTGTGGGGCCATTGGTGATATCCTCTTTATCATTTTTTATTGTGTCTATTTGATTCTTCTCTCCTTTCTTCTTTATTAGTATAGCCTGTGGTTTGTTTTGTTAATTTTTTTCAAAAAAACTAGCTCCTGGATTCACTGATTTTTTGAAGGGTTTTTTTGTGTCTCTACCTCCTTCAGTTCTGTTCTGATCTTAGTTATTTCTTGTCTTCTGCTAACTTTTGGATTTGTTTGTTCTTGCTTCTCTACTTCTTTTAATTGTGATGTTAGGGTGTTGATTTGAGATCTTTCCAGCTTTATGATTGGGCATTTAGTGCTATAAATTTCCCTTTTAGCACTGCTTTAGCTGTGTCCCAGAGATTCTGACAAGTTGTCTCTTTGTTCTCATTGGTTACAAAGAATTTCTTGATTTCTGCATTACTTTTGTTATTTAGCAGGAGTCATTGAGGAGCAGGTTATTCAATATCCATGAAACTGTGTGGTTTTGAGTGAGTTTCTGAATGCTGAGTTTTAGTTTAATTGAACTGTGGTCTGAAAGACTTCCACTCCTTTGCATTTGCTGAGGAGTGTTTTACTTCTAATTATGGTCAATTTTAGAATAAGTGCCCCGTGGCACTGAGAAGAATGTAAATTCCTTTGATGTGGGGTGGAGAGTTCTGTAGATGTCTGTTAGGTCCACTTGATTCAGAGCAGAGTTCAAATCCTGAATATCCTTGTTAATTTTCTGTCTTGTTGATCTGTCTAATATTGACAGTGGGGTGTTAAAGTGTCCTACTATTATTGTGTGGGAGCCTACGTTTCTTTGTAGGTCTCTTAAGAACTCGTTGTATGACTCTGGGTGCTACTGTATTTGGTGCATCTATATTTAGAATAGTTAGCTCCTCTTGTTGAATTGATCACTTTACCATCATTTAATGACCTTCCTTTTCTTTTTTGATCATTGTCGGTTTAAAGTCTATTTTATCATAGAGTAGAATTGCAACTCCTGCTTTCCTTTGCTTTCCATTTGCTTGTTAAATTTTCCTCTATCCCTTTATTTTGAGCCTATGTGTGTCTTTGTATGTGAGATGGATCTCCTGAATACAGCACAATGATGGGTCTTGACATTTTATCCAATTTGCCAGTTTGTGTCTTTTAATTGGGGATTCCACCCATTTACATTTAAGGCTAAAATTGTTATGTGTGAATTTGATCCCATCATCATGATGCTAGCTGGTTATTTTGCACACTAGTTGATGCAGTTTCTTCATAGTATCATTGGTCATCATATTTTGCTGTGTTACTTCAGTGGCTGGTACCAGTTTTTCCTTTTCATATTTAGTGGTTCCTTTGGGACCTCTTGCAAGGCAGGCCTCGTGGTGATGAAATTTCTTACCATTTCCTTGAGTGGAAAGCATTTTATTTTTCCTTCGCTTATGAAGCTTAGTTTGGCTGGGTATGAAATTCTGGGTTGAAAATTCTTTTCTTTAAGTATGTTGAATATTGGCCCCCACTCTCTTCTGGCTTGTAGGGTTTCTGTTGAGATATCTGCTGTTAGTCTAATGGACTTCCCTTTGTAGGTGACCTGACCTTTCTCTCTGGCTGCCCTTAATAGTTTTTCCTTCATTTCAACCTTAGAGAAGCTGATGATTATGTGTCTTGGGGTTGATCTTCTCAGGGAATATCTCAGTGGTGTTGTCTGTATTTCCTGAATTTGAATGTTGGCCTGTCTTGCTAGGTTGGGGGAAATTCTCCTGGATAATATCCTGAAGTGTGTTTTCCAACTTCTCAATGTCTTGTGTGATTCATTCTCAATGACTTGTGTTTTTATATCATCCCATATTTCTCAGAGGTTTTTGTTTGTTTGTTTTTATCCTTTTTTCTCTAATCTTGTCTACATACTTTATGTCAGCAAGATGGTCTTCAAACTCTGATATCCTTTTTTTCTACTTCATCTCTAAGCTTTGTCTTCATGCCTTATTTCAGTAAGTTGATCTTCAATCTCTGATATCCTTTCTTCTGTTTGATCAGTTCGGCTATTGATACTTGCGTGTGCTTCATGAAATTCTCATGCTGTGATTTCAGCTTCATCAGGTCATTTATGTTCCTCTCTAAACTGGTTATTTTAGTTAGCAACTACTCTTACTTTCTATCGGTTTCTTAGCTTTTTTTGCATTGGGTTAGAACATACTCCTTTAGCTCAGCGGAGTTTGTTATTACCTACCTTCTGAAGACCACTTCTGTCAATTCATTCATCTCATTCTCAATACGGTTCTGTGCACTTGCTGGAGAGGTATCGCAATCATTTGGAGGAGAAGAGACATTCTGTCTTTTGGAATTTTCAGTGTTTTGTGCTGGTTTTTCCTCATCTTCATGGATTTATCTACCTTTGATCTTTGAGGCTGATCATCTTTGGTTAGGGTTTGTTGGGTTGGTATTTTTGTTGATGTTTTGGTTGCTGTTGCTTCCTATCTGTTACTTTTTCTTCTAAGTCAGGCCCCTCTTCTGGAGGTCTGCTACGGTTTGCTGGGGGTTCACTCCAGACCCTGTCTGCCTGGGTATCACCAGTGGAGGCTGTAGAATAGCAAAGATTGCTGCCTGCTCCTTCCTCTGGAAGCTTCATCCCAGAGGAGCACCAGCTTAATGCCAGCCAGAGCTCTCCTGTATGAGGTGTCTGCCACCCCCTATTGGGAGGTCTCTCCCAGTCAAGAGGCATCTGGTCAGGGGCCTGCCTGAGGAGGCCATCTGTCCCTTGGCAGAGCTGGTGCACTGTGCTGGGAGAACCCCCCTTGTCAGGATCAGCTGCTCTCTTCAGAGTTGGCAGGCAGGAAAGATTAAGTCCACTGAACCTGTGACCACAGCCTTTCCTCCCCCCAGGTGCTCTGTGCCAGGAAGATGACAGTTCTGTCTGTAAGCCCCTGAATGGAGCTTCTGGATTTCCTGCAGAGATGGCCTGCCCTGGGAGGAGAAATCTAGAGAAGCAATCTGTCCACAGCTGCTTTGCTTTGCTGTGGTAAATTCCACTCAGTCCGAACCTCCCAGTTTCTTTAGAACTATCAGGGTACAACTGCCTACTAAGCCACAGTAATGGCGACCTCCCCTCGCCCCCCTCCTCCACCTCCCACCAAACTCGATAGTCCCAGGCAGACTCCAGACTGCGGTGCGGGCACTGAGAATTTCAAGCCAGTGGTTCTTAGTTTGCTGGGCTCCATGGGAGTAGGATTCGGTGAGCGAGATCACTTGGCTCACTGGCTTCAGCCCCCTTTCCAGGGGAGTGGACAGTTCTCCTGTCACACTGGAGTTCCAGGTGCCGCTGGAGTCTGAATAATCTCCTGCAGCTCAGTGCCAGCTCAGACAGCCACCCAGTTTTGTGCTCAAAACCCAGGGCCCTGGTGGAGTAGGCTCTCATGGAAATATCGTATTCTGCAGATTGCAAAAATTCACGGAAAAAGCATAGTACCGCAGGCAGGCAGCACAGTCCATCTCCTCTTTGCTTGGCTAGGGGAGGGAGGTCCCCTGGTTCTTTGCACTTCCTCGATGAAGCGATGCCCCACTCTGCTTCTGCTCACTCTCTGTGGGTCGCACTCACTACCTAGCCAGCCCCAGTGAGATGAACTGGGGACCTCAGTTGGAAATGCAGAAATCACCCACCTTCTGCATTGGCCTTCCTGGGAGCTGTTTCTGCTCAGCCATCTTGGCCCCTCCTCCAGTATATTAACTTTTATTCCAAAGTGAGTTTTAAGAGGCTCAATAAAACTTTGAGTTTACACCTTGCAAAAAGATTTGTATGCTACCTGGATGCACAGCACAAAATTTATGATACTGAAAAAACAGAAAGCTTTATTGTTCTGATTAGTACTAAGATGGTGGATAGGAGGAAGGACTAGCTTGCAGCTCCCACTCAGATGGACAGAGTAGCATGTGGAAACTCACATTGTGAACTTTTGCTCCAAGAACTACTGCAGGAACATACCAGGAAAGCTGAGAGAAACCACAGACCCTTTGAAGGAACTGGATCACCACTGCGGGCTCCCTGAGACACTGAAAACCTGTGAATCTGTTTCCTTTCTCAACAGAGAGGCTCATGTTCTGGAATGAGTTCTCAGCCCTGGTCACCAGCTGCTTGGAAATAGACTCGGTGCTGTTATGAGGGCACAGTGGGAGTACGGCTGGCCTTTAGGACTGTGGGCTATGTGGGAGCTTGGTGAGACTGGTGACTGCTGCCTTTCTCTCACTTCCCTAATGACCTGTGTGTTGCAACACAGGCAGCCATAATCTCCCTGGGAATATAACTCCATTAGACTGGAAACTACACCTGCATTGACCTCACAGCAGCAGCACAGCAAGCCCCACCCAAGGAGAGGCTGGGCTCCGACACGCCTATCTTTGCCCACACCTAATTGTCTTTCTCCACCCACTTTGGTAGCCGAAGGCAAAGGTCATAATCTCTTGGGAGCTCTAAGGCCCTGCCCACCAGCTGAGAAACATGAATACTTGAAAGGGTGTCCCTAGGGCAAGTTTGCATCCTCACTATAGGGCTCCAGCTCTTGCGCTCTGAAAGCATCACCTCCTGGCTGGAGGCCAACCAACACAAAACCAGTACACTAAACAAAAACACAACCAAAGACCCTCACAGAGTCCATTTTACTCCTCTGTTACCTCCCCTGGAGCAGGTGCCGGTACCCATGGCTGCAAGACCTGAAGACAGAACTCATCACAGGACTCTTTGAAGACACTCCCTAGTACCAGCCCAGAGCCTGGTAGCTCCCCTGTGTGGCTAGACCCAGAAGAGCAAAAGCAACTACTACAGTTTGGCTCTCAGGAAGTCCCTTTCCTAGGAGAGCTGGGAGAACACCACATCAAGGGAGCACCCAGTGGGACAAAAAAAAATCTAAACAGCAGCCCTTGAATCCCGGATTTTCCTTCTGAAATAGTCTACTTAAATGAGAAGGAACCAGAAAAACAATTCTGATAATATAACAAAGCAAGGTTCATTAATACCCCCAGAAGATCACAGCAGCTCGCCGGCAATGAATCCAAACGAAGATAAAAATCTCTGAATTGCCAGAAAAAAAAATTCAGAAGGTTATTAAGCTAATCAAGGAGGCATCAGAGAAAGGTGAAGTCCAACTTAAAGAAATCAAAAACATAATGCAGAATATGAATATGAAAGGAAAATTCTTCAGTGAAATAGCATGAATAAAAAACAATAACAACTTCAAGGAAATCAAGAAAACACTGAGAGAAATGCAAAATGCATGGGAAAGTCTCACCAATAGAATTGAACAAGCAGACGAAAGACCCTCAGAGATGAAGACGATGTTTTTGAATTATACCAATCCATCCAAGACAAAGAAAAAAGAATTTTAAATAATGAAAAATCCGCCAAGAAGTTTTGAACTGTGTTAAATGTCCAAATCTAAGAATAATTCATGTTCCTGAAGAAGAAGAGAAATGTAAAAGTTTGGAAAATAATTAGGACTCACATAAACTTACTATAAAGGGGTGGAAGAAGATATTCCATGCAAATGTAAACCAAAATTGAGCAGGAGTGCCTACTCTTATATCAGAAAAAACAAACTTTAAAATATCAGCAGTTAAAAAAAGAAAAAGAGGTACAGTATAAAATGATAAAAAGAGTAGTGCAACAGGAAAATTTCACAATTGTAAATATATATGCACCTAATTGTGAAACTCCCAATTATAAAACAATTACTACTAGACCTAAGAAATCAGATAGACAACAACACAAAAACATTGGGGGACTTTAATACTCAATGGAGAACACTAGACATGTCATCAAAACAGAAAGTCAACTAAGCCACAATGAAATTAAACTGTATACTACAACAAATGGACTTAACAGATATTTACAGAAGATTCTACCTTACCACTGCAGAATATACTATTCATCAGCACGTGGAACATTCTCTGAGATAGACCATATGATAGGCCACAAAACAAGCCTCAGTAAATTTAAGAAAATCAAAATTATATCAAGTACTCTCTCAGACCATAGTGGAATAAAACTGGAAATCAACTCCAAAAGGAACAATCAAAACCAGGCAAATACATGGAATTTCAATAACCTGCACCTGAAAGATTGTTGAGTCAACAATAAAATCAACATGGAAACTAAAAAAAATTATTTAAACTGAATGAAAATAGTGACACAGCCTATCAAAACCACTGGGATACAGCAAAAGCAGTGCTAAGAGGAAAGTTCATACCATTAAATGCCTACATCAAATAGTCTGAAAGAGCACAAATAGACAATCTAAGGTCACACCTCCCTGAACTGCAGAAACAAAAACAATCCAAACCCAAGCCCAGAAGAAGATCAGAGGAGAACTAAATAAAATTGAAATAAACACAAAAATGCAAAAGATAAATGAAACAAAAAGCTGATCTTTGAAAAGATAAATAAAATTGGTAGACAATTAGTGAGATTAACCAATCAAAGAAAAGATTTAAATAAGCTCAATTAGAAATGAAACAGGTGACCGGGCGTGGTGGCTCATGCCTGTAATCCCAGCACTTTGGGAGGCTGAAGTGGGGGCATCATGAGGTCAGGAGTTCAAGATCAGCCTGACCAACATGGTGAAACCCCATTGCTACTAAAAATACAAAAATCAGCCCAGTGTGGTGGCATGTGCCTGTAATCTCAGCTACTCAGGAGGCTGAGGCAGGAGAATCGCTTGAACCCGGGAAGCAGAGGTTTCAGTGAGCCCAGATTGCACCAGTGCACTCTAGCCTGCACAACAGAGTGAGACTCCATCAAAAAAAAAAAAAAAAAGAAAAGAAAAGAAAAGGAAAGAAAGAAGTGAAACAGGCAATAATAAAACTGGTACCACAGAAACACAAAAGGTTATTCAAGGCTACTATGAACAGCTTTATACACATAAACTAAAAGACCTAGAGGAGATGGATAAATTTCTGGAAATATATAAACCTCCAAGATTAGATGAGGAAAATATAGAATCTCTGAACAGACCAAAAATAAGCAGCAAGATTAAAATGGTAATTTAAAAAATGCCGACAAAAAAAAAGTCCAGGACCAGACAGATTCACAGCTGAATTCTATCAGACATTCAAAGAAGAATTAGTACCAATCCTATTGACTATTCCAAAAGATAAAGGAGGAATCTTCCCTAAATCATTCTATGAAGCCACTATCACCTCAATACCAAAAGCAGAGAAGGACATAACAAAAAAAGAAAAGTACAGACCAATATCCTTGATGAACATAGATGCAAAAATCATCAACAAAATACTAGCAAACTAAATACAATGGCATATCAAAAAGATAATCCACCACGTTCAAGTGGGTTTCATACCAGGGATGCAGGAATGGTTTAACATACCTAAGTCAATCAATGTGATATACCCCACATAAACAGAATTAAACAGAAAAATCACATGATCATCTAGATAGACAAGAAAAAGCATTTGACAAAATCCAGCATGCATTTACGATTAAAATCCTCAGCAAAATCGGTGTAGAAGGGACATACCATAAGATAATCAAAGCCAACTGTGAGAAATCGACAGCCAATAATAAACTTAATAGGGAAAAGTTGAAAGCATTTTGCATGAGAAATGGAATAAGACAAGGATGTCCGCTCTCACCACTCCTATTCAACATAGTACTGGAAGTCCTAACTAGAGCAATAATACCAGAGAAAGAAAAAAAGGGCATCCAAATTGGTAAAGAGGAAGGAAAACTGTCACTGTTTGTTGATGATATAATCATATACCTAGAAAACCCTCAAGGCTCATCCAAAAAGCTCCTAGAACTGGTAAATGAATTCAGCAAAGTTTCAGGATACAAAATTAATGCACACAAACCAGTAGCTCTGCTATAAACCAACAGTGACCAAGATGAGAATCAAATCAAGAACTCAACCCCTTTTACAATAGCTGCAAACAAAAACAAAAACTAAAACTAAGGAATATACCTAACCAAGGACATGAAAGACCTCTACAAGAAAAACTACAAAACACTGCTGAAAGAAATCATTGATGACACAAACAAATGGAAACACCTCCCTTGCACATGGGTGGGTAGAATCAATAGTGTGAAAATGACCATACTGCCAAAGGCAATCTACAAATTCAATACAATTCCCATCAAATTGCCACCATCATTCTTCACAAAACTAGAAGAAACAATCCTAAAATTCATATGGAATCAAAATGGAGCCTGCACAGCCAAAGCAAAACTAAGCAAAAAGAACAAATCTGGAAATATCACATTACCCAACTTCAGATTGTACTATAAAGTCATTATCATGAAAACAGCATGGTACTGGTATAAAAATAGGCACATGGACAAACCAAATAGAATAGAGAACCCAGAAATAATGTCAAATATTTACAGCAAACTGGTTTTCCACAAAGCAAACAAAAACATAAAGTGGGGAAAGGACAACCTATTCAACAAATGCTGCTGGGATAATTGGCGCGCCACATGTAGGATAATGAAACGGAATCCTCATCTCTCACCTTATACAAAAATAAATTCAAGGCCAATCAAAGACTTACGTCTAAAACCTGAAACCATAAAGATTCTAGAAGATAACATCGGGAACACCCTTCTAGATATTGGCTTAGGCAAAGACTTCATGATCGAGAACCCAAAAGAAAATGCAAAAAAAAAAAAAAAAAAGAGGTGCGGGGATAAAAGATAAGACTAAATTAAACTAAAAAACTTCTGCAAAGCAAAAGAAATAATCAACAGAGTTAACAGACAACCCAGAGAGTGGGAGAAAATCTTCTCAATCTATACATCTGGCAATGGAATAATATCCAGAATCTACAAAGAACTCAAACAAATTAGCAAGAAGAAAACAAACAATCCCATCAAACTGGGATTGGGCTAAGGGACTTGAATAGACAGTTCTCAAGGAGATATACAAACGGCCAAAAAGCATAAGGAAAAATGCTGAACATCACTAATTATCAGGGAAATACAAATCAAAACCACAGTGCAATACAAACTCACTCCTGCAAGAATGGCCATAATCAAAAAATCAAACAATAATAGATGTTGACATGGATGTGGTGAAAAGGGAACCCTTTTACACTGTTGATGGGAATGTGAACTATTACAACACTAGGAAAAACAGTGTGAAGATTCTTTAAACAACTAAAAGTAGATTTACCATTTGATCCAGCAATACCACTACAAGGTATATACTCAGAAGAAAAGAAGTCATTATACAAAAAAGGTACTTACATGTTGCATGTTTATATCAACACAATTTGCAATTGCAAATAGATGGAATCAGCCTAAATGATCATCAGTCAATGAGTGGATAAATAAAAGGTGGTATATACATACCATGGGATACTATTCTTCCATAAAAATGAATTAATTAATAGCATTTGCAGCAACCTGGTTGGAATTGGAGACTATTATACAAAGTGAAGTCACACAGGCATGGAAATCCAAACATCGTATATTCTCACTCATATGTGCCAGCTAAGCTATGAAACACCAAGGCATAAAAATGATACACTGGACTTGGGGACTTGGAAGAAATGTTGGGGACTGGAGAGGGCTAAAAGACTACACATTAGGTACAGCGAACACTGCTTGGTTGATCGCTGCACTAAAATCTCAGAAATCACCATTAAAGAACTTATTAATGTAACCAAACACTATGTGTTTCCCAAAATGATAATGAAATTTAAAAATAAAAATGGAATGTCTTTATTGAAAATGCCTTATATTGTAGTCATAACTGAATTGAATATTAAAAAATCTAAAATAGTTTATCTGAAATAAATTATACTGGTACCCATCAATATGTTGAGCAATGCACACAATTAGTGATATTTTTAGGACTTAATAGAAAAAGAGAGACAATAAAAAGAAGACGTTAGCAGACAGCAAAACATGAAATTTATGAGGTAACTCAATCTCCAGACTTGCCCTTTCCTAAGATTTTCATTAATGCTCTGGTCACTTCCTTGTTGCGGAGGCTATAAATGAGAGGATTCAGCATGGGAGTGACGATGGTGTAGAATACAGACACCATCTTGTCCTGCATAGGAGAATGATGAGATGTGGGCTGAATGCACATGAACAAACCTGCTCCATAGTACATTCCCACCACCATGAGGTGAGAGGAACAAGTAGTAAAAGCTTTGCGACGTCCCTCTCCAGATCCCATGTGAATGACAGCCAGAATAACTCGAGCATAGGAAGTGATGATGATTGCAACAGGGAAAACAAGCATTACTATACAGCAGATGAAAATAACCTCTTCAAATATTGATGTGTCATTGCATGAGAGGATTAGTAGGGAAGGGAAGTCACAGCAGAAGTGGGCTATTTCCCGAGACCCACAGTAGGAGAAGGAAAATGTCGCTACAGCATCAATGATTCCATCTGTAGAGCCCAGGATCCAGGAGAAGGCAGTCATAAGTCCACAAATTTTGGGTCTCATGAGATTGGTGTATCTTAGAGGGTGGCAAATGGCAGTGTAGCGGTCATAAGACATAACAGCCAACAGAAAGCATTCGGAGCCAAGCAATGATATATAGAAGAAAATTTGTGTGGCACAGCCAGCCATAGAAATGGACTTGCTGCCAGACAAGTAGTTGAAGGCCATCTTGGGTACAGTGGTGCAGATGAGCATGAGGTCCATGAGGGACAGTTGGCTGAGGAGGAAGTACATGGGGGTGTGGAGCTGGGTATCCAGGTAGATGAGGAGAACCATGATGGAGTTTCCCATGAAGGCCACTGAAAAGATGGCCAGGACCAGAAAGAAGAGGAAGGTGTGGGTGGGGCTATGATTGAAGATTCCCAGGAGGAGGAAGTCAGAGTTGAAGGTCTGATTCTCCCATGCCATGATGAATATGCCTGTTACCTAGCACCGCAAAAACAGTTCATTAATTTGATAAACATTTACCCAGTGCCTTATAAAGCATGTGATTATGGTAAATTCTGTAGTTTGGTGATCAATACAGGATGGCCAGAATTATAAAACTCAAAGTTTAAGAATTATGGAATCATAAAGAAATATGTTCTCTCAGCAGTGTCTCACTTATAAAATTATGGAGCTTGTCCTAACTTTTCTTCTAAGCATTCTTTTTCTCCATTGAAAAATTACAATAACAATATCTACTACATGATCAATGGAGTTTTTCCAAAAAGAATATGTCTCCAAAGCAAACAGTTCCTAAAACATCAGAAGCCTGTTACAGGTAAATTGATAGAGAAATTCAGGTTCAGTCACCATGTGACCAACACAATACTAGAAATGGACAATAAATTTGTGCCTTTATTCACATGATAGTAGGCATTTTTCCTACCAGAGTTAAGAAAATGTGTATGTTTACCTATTACTTTACAGTTTAAAGTATTTTATCTATACTTTATAGTAAGTTTTCTATACAGTAAGTGGATTCACTGAAAAGATTTTCAATTATACAAATCTAAGACATATGCTCTTTTTTCTATAGCCCAGTGTGATGCATTGAATTATGTTTCTTCCCCAAAAGATAGCAAGTGAGCTTGTTTAGAAATACATAAAGGGTATAATTAGTTAAGGTGAGGTCAAGTTGGAGCAGAGTGGGTCTCTCTAATTCAATATGACTCATGTTCTGATAAGTGGGTGGCCATGTGAAGACTGAGACACTGAGGATACCATGTGATAGGGGAGGCAGGGATTGGAGTGGTGCATCTACAAATCAAGAAATGCCAAAAACTGTTAGTTATAACAGGAACCTGGGAGAGAGGAATGGGACAGATTCATCCTCTTAGAGCCCTCAGAAGTGTCCAACCCTGCTGACAACTTGATTTCAGATTTCTAGACTCCAAAACTATGAGAGAATAAATTTCTATTGTTTTAGGTAACCTGTTTGTGATTTCTCTGTACTGGCATTCGTAGGAAATTAATACATCCAATATATCCTATAGAAAATAAGTAGATATAAAAACAGAAATTAAGAAAAGCATGAGATTCATCCTTTCAACAACATTTATGAAGCCTGGCTATGTGTTGATCACTGGGGCTACCACAGTGACCAGAATAAAGAAAGCCCGTGTCCATACAGGTCATAGTGAGTGTGATCAGATGATGATTATAAAACACTTTATGTCATAAGAGGATAAACATTTTGGAGAAAAGTAAGTCAAAGAAGGGTGTTAGAAATGCACTAGTATGTTCACCTTTGAATAAAGTAGTCAAGGGAAACCTCACACATCTAATGGCTTTTGGCAAAGACTCTGAGCAAGTGAGAAAGACACCAGATCACAGGAAAGGGTTGTACGTATATAAATTCCACAAAATGAAATGCAATAAATAGAACATACACAGAGAAAATAGAAATGTGTGGAAGATTTTGGGAAAACATAGGGTTTTCTAATTTAGAGTTATGTTTCTTGTATGTTGTGGCATTAAGTTTTTATTGTGTGAGATAATAATAAATGTATGAGCAAAGCCAATATGTGAAGGGAGATTATTCCAGGCAGTAAAAAATGATGTCATAAACAGAAAGACAAGCCTGGTGAGTAGACTCACTTGACAGAAATGTACTTTTTTCATTTATTCATGCATCACATTTTAATGAAGAGACTGAAAACAACAACATCAATGAAAGGTGAAAAATCTAGGAGCAGCAAGGAAGTTAGAAGAAATCTGCAGAAGAGAAGGAATCTGGAATTTGTCCTCATGGGTTGAAATACAATTTTTTCAATAGGGAGGTAGTAAAGTATACCTTTTTGAGTTTTATTTATTTATATTAATTGTGAATAATATTGGTAAGAAAGAAAAAAAATACTCGAGCAGAGTTTTAAGTTTTCATTCAAGAACAACCTAACAAAACATGCCTCTTCAGTGCAGGGAAGACAGAGAAGGAATCTCCATAAGAGACTCTCATGAGATTAGAATGGCAATCTCTAAAATAAAAACAAATCATTTTTGTCAATCAGCATGAAGAGAGAAACAGGCTTCAACCTCCTCCCTTTCTGGTTTTAAAACAAATGGTTATCAAGAAGTTGGATAAACCTGATCAGTGGTAGCTCAGATCCAGGTCCAGTCAATGTCTTGAGAATGAGAAATGGGCATCTCTGGGATCTTCAGTGTTGGGGGTTTCCTACCAAAGGGTTCCCTTGTGTTGTCCTCAAGAGGAGGTGGGCTTTTAAGGTCAATCAGGGGAAAAGACGTTGTATTGCCTCAATAATTTCCAGTGCTTATGAGCTGAATTCGCTTCAAGAAAATAACTCATCTCAACTTACTTTATGGAACCACCTATTTCGACCATCATACTGTAGCTGTCCCAGTTTTCTTGATCTTGTCAACTGTTACAATACACAATTTATCCAAACTAAACTGTATTACCTCAAATTTCCACCATAATTTTTCTTTAACTCAGTCTGAAATATTACTCCAAGAAGGAAGCTATGTGGTCAAGTTCGCTTCTCCCTATGCTTCTTTTTCAGTTGGCAAAGTGTTCTTTACATTTGGGAAACACTACTTCCAAGTCACTAAGTTGAGATAAAATGGTGATTAATTCTACTTGATCACTTAGACATTTCTACCATATGTTTTACATTCCATTGAATGATGCAGCATTAAAACAAAATTGATTACAAATGTAAGTCTACATATCCCTCTGAATTGTATCAGTCACATTAGTTTAGGCTGAACTTATATAAATGCACTCTTATTTGTCTCGTATTTTTCACCTCCTTTCATTGCCTCAAAATTCTCTTCATACCCACGTGCTAAAATTGCCTTCCTTGATTTTGTGCTGTCACAGAGAATGTGGCAAGATATATCACAAATTTATAACAGTTTATAAGTGATAAAATTGAAAATATTGAGCACTAGATTGCCCTATGCCTTCTATATTAAGATCCATATGAACATTCATTCAATAAAATTCTATAAAGAAAAATAATATTGTTTCTAATGAAAATTTGACATTTCTTCTAAGTTAGTAAGATACATATGACAGATTGTGCTTACCTTTAGGCACCAGGAATATGAGACCCAATCCTGAAGCTCAGTGTAAGTTATCCAGGATATAAACAATCTGAAAATGCAGTGAAGATAACATTGGGATTCCAAGAGGTATTTGTATATATTCCTATAAAAATGGATCTGTGGTGAAATATATTTGCAACTCCAAGTTATCCAGGACTCTTCACTGCCAAAAAAAAAAAAAAAGCAGAACATTTAGAGCTTCAGCTCTGTACTAGGAGGAACATAAAAAGCAGCTTTTTCAGAATGGCTCTGAAATTATGACATCTTGTTTTTTATTTTTTTAGAATACCTATTGATATTTCAAAGGTATTCACATAATGAGGTACAACATTTTGAACTCTGCATTAGACATTGCCTACCAAGTATTTTTCCCTTAGTTGTAATTTTATGCTTCTAATTTTATTTATTTTATCTAATCTACATTGTTTCTGTTGTAATAAACTCCATCATTTTGTAAAAAGATGGTGCATAGATTCAGTATTTTTAAATGTCTTTTTCATATATTAACCTCATCACATCTGGAAGAGGAGTCATCAGATTTCATTACACTGTGATACTGTGCACATGCCCAGAGCAATATATTGTAACACAAAATCCATGAAAATCATGGTCAGATTTTATGACACTGTGATAACTGTGCACAGGCCAGAGCAATAGTAACAAAGAAACCATGAAAATCTAGGTGAGAAATTGAGAAGGCACTGAGTGAGATGATGGAAAAGAGGCATCAAGAGGCCAGAATTTGACCAAAAAAAAAAAAAAAAAAGTAAAGCATTACGTGAAATAATGTCAGACAGCATGTGTAATCCACTGTGTAATCAACTGAAGTTGCTAAAATGACTTTACCCTTTTGTAATAGGAATAATCAGGAAATAAAACAAAAAATCTCTCATATTAGCAAAATGAGCATAGCAGTTTTATTTGTAATATGAAAATGCAACCTGCATGTGCACTGGCAATGGAATTTATAACTATAACTACAAGAAGTAGCATTCATGAATCTCACAAATAGAATGTTGAATGAACAAAGTAGATCACAGGGAATGCCCTCATGAATCCTATTATAGTAATTTAAACATACATATAGAAACCATTTATTAAGTGCAGCAATCCTGGAATAATGATTACCTGCAAAATGGGCTTGAAAGTTTACACAATGAGAGAGAATTGAAGTGTTTTTTCAAAAACATTGGTAATATTTTAAAGGATTTTACAAAATGTATATCTACCATATTTTTTAATAAACATTTTTGTATACTTGAGCTTTAATAAAATATATGTAAATATATGTAAATGTCTTAGAAGAGCACATGACAAATGTAAAGCATTCATTACTACAGGTCCAGGATTCCTTATCCAAAATGCTTATGACCAGATGTGTTGCAGATTTCAGACTTGTTCAGACTTTGGAATATCTACATGTAGATAAAGAGATATCCTAGGAATGGACTCCAAGTGTAGAGACAAAATTCATTTATGTTCGATGTATACCTTATACACATAGTCTGAAGGTAGTTTTATGCCATATTTTAAAATAATTTTGTGTAAGGGAGAAAGTTTGTGTACACTGAACCATCAGAAAGCAGGAATGTCACAATCTCATGTCAGCACTCAAAAAGATTCCGATTTTGGAGTACTTTGGATATTAGATTTTTGGTTTAGGGATTCTCATCCTGCATGAGCTACAATTATTAAAAGAAAAGAGAATGTGGTCAAAACATTCAAATCACATCCAGTTCTCATCTTTTACTTTTCTCCTCTGATTCCTATTCACTGTCAATTTCTTTCTCAAATCTAGAATACCAGGATATGAAAAACAAAAAATATTGTATTTTATACAATCTTTCATATTGATAAGCTGGGAGAGGTAACCACTCATTCTGCCTCAAGTTGTACCACATTTCTCAAAGTAATATTGCACGAATAAAGTAGAACAATGTTTATAAAATTCTTAGCACACAAATGACGTAAGAAATGAGATCAATCATCACCATGTTCAGCAGAAATTTTCACACTAGCTTATAAACAGTCTTGTTGGGGCTTGGTTAACTTACCTCTTAGTACTGATCTGAATAGTGTGTATTTTCAATGAGACTGTAGGTTCCTGGGAAGGCAAAAATATATAAATATCTTACATGTCTTTATATTTCCATCATCAGAAGAAAAGCACCTAACTTACAATGGGTATCTTTATTGTTATTGAAAAATCAAAGGACACAAAAATTTAAATTTTTAGCTCTTGGGGAATCCATTCCCTTGTCTTTAATTATCGAAGTTTGTATTTCCTTCTATCTCCTCTTCTAGGTCATGAAGCAGAATTAGCTTCCTTTTCTTGAAAATACTACAAAGATAATGATGACTCTTTCCTTGCAGATTAGTGTAAACTTTCTGAAACCTCTCCTTCCTCTCTCTCACATGATGAGGTAAAAAACACCAAGTGCTTTCTGTGCAACTGGCACTGTGGTTTAAAAAAAAAACGGTTTGTAAATTCACATAACATCTACAACCATCGTGTGTACCAGATACCCTTATTAGACACCTGAATATATTATTATATATTATCTTTAATTATATTCTCATTTTTTTGCATGATGAAACTAAGGGCAGAAGCTTAAGTAAATTCCCCGAAGTTGCAAATTCAGTAGCAAATGGCAGTCAGGGCGTTCCAGAGCTGGTTCGTCCCTCTTCTATGGCTTATCTTCACTCTCCCTTCTGCTCCATCATCAAAACAAGATATGCTTAGGTAGAATTGGCATTTTTAACATCTTGATGTTCTCAACATAATTCTAATTTTATTTATATGTTCCTTATATGTTTTCTATCCCTTAAAACTACTGTATATATTTTCTGTAAAATTTATTCTTATTAAATAGAAATGTTCATGGGTATTTTATATTTTGTTGCTCTAGTGTATGGAATATTGTTTCCATTACTTTTTCTATTTCTTTTTGTTAATATGTAGAAATCTATTAATTGTTTGTAGATCTTGAATCTTAGAATGTCGTTTTTTATTTTTGTATTTCTTATTGCAGAGAAAAATGTTACATACAATGCATAAAACAACTTAACAACTTCATATTTCTTTCCAATCTTATCTATTTTTTCTTACATCACTTGATTAAAATATATATAATTAAAAGGTTGAAGAATAATATTAGTGAGTAGGTGACCTTTAGCAATTATGGTTCACCATTGGGTATAGTGTTTGTCTGAGGTTTTGGTAGATATATTCACCAATTTAGCAAAATCCCATTTTATTTCTTTTACCAATGCTTTGTTCAACAAATGTTCACTGAATCATATTGAATGATGCCCTGCTTTTACTGAGATAATTGTATTGTTTTTCTTAAATTGTTCTAAGCCTGAATTACAATGATAGCTATTTTGTATCTTTAGAAATATTTCACCGGAAGAGAATGTATAAAATACTAAATGCCAATGTACTCATCACCAGCTTAGAATAAAATATTAGAAGCCGGGCATGTTGCCTCACACCTGTAATCCTGGCGGTTTGGGAGGTTGAGGCGGGCAGATCACTTGAGGCCAGGGGTTCAAGACCAGCCTGGCCAATATGGTGAAACTCTGTCTCTACTAAAAATACAAAAATTAGCCAGCATGGTGGCACAGGCCTTTAATCTTAGCTACTTGGGAGGAGACTCTCTTGAACTTGGGAGGTGGAGATTGCAGTGAGCTGAGATGGCACGATTAATATTAAAGAGTATTAAACCACATGGTTACAAGGTCCCACAGTCGGTCCTCTGAAGCTGAGGAGCAAGGAAGCCAGTTCGAGTCCCAAAGTTGAAGAACTCGGGACAGTTTGAGGGCAGGAATCATCCAGCACGGGAGCGAGGTGTAGGTGTGGGAAGCCAAGCCAATCTAGGCCTTTCACATTCTTCTGCCTGTTTTTTATTCTGGCAGAGCTGGCAGCTGATTAGATTCTGCCCACCCAGATTAAGAGTGTGTCTGCGTTTTCTGACACACTGACCCAAATGTAAGTCTCCTTTGGTGACACCCTCAAAAATACACCCAGGATCAATACTTTGCATCCTTCATCCAATCAAGGTGACATTCAGTATTAACCATCACAACAGAAAATACAAAACTGCAGTTATTACATTGATTTGTATCTAGCAACATTACTAAATTTACATTTAGTAATCTAAATTTAGCATTTGAATGTAAATGCTAAAAGAATTTTATTATCTTTAGCAGTACTTTTTTTGCATCTTACTAAACTTTTCAAGCCAGGATCAACTAGTAGTCTTCAATTTTACATTTTCTAGTGGAGAAAATATAAATTGCTTCTTGTACTATGGAAAATGTAATTTTAATTTTATAACAAATGATATCTTTATTCAGATATTATGTAGTTTTAAAGCTTTTTTGGAAACATTCTCAAAGTTATTCAAAAGTTGCAATAACTACACAAAATTTTTCTTCTCTGAACCATTGGAGATTTGATCCATTGCTCTCTAATATCTTAGTGGCTTTCCTACAGAAAGAGATCTTTCTCCTACTGCCCAAATCATGAAGCTATCCTCAATACTTTACCACCCTCTGGTCCACAGACCCCATTGAATTTTTCCAACTATCCCAATAATACCTCTCATATAGCAAAATAATCAAAGTCAGGTGATGAGTTGCCTTTCTTTGTTATGCCTCTTAAGTGTCCCTTACTCAGGAAAAGTACCTGATTCTGTCTTTAATGAGATACTGTTTTTTAGTTTTGTTTTTAGTTCTTGTGATAAAATATACATAATATTAAATAATCTTAATTATTTTTAAGTATACAGTTCAATAATGTAAAGTACATTGACATGGTTGAACAAACAATCTCCAGACATTTTTCATTATATGCAACAAGGGTCTCCAACCCTCGGGCCACAGAGGTGTGCTGGTCAATGGCCTGTTAGGAACCAGGCTGCACAGCAGGAGGTCAGCAGAAAGCAGGCATTGCTGCCTGAGCTCTGACTCTTGTCAGATCAGCACTAGCATTCAATTCTCATAGGAGCCTGAACCCTATTGTGAACTATGCATGGGAGGGATCTAGGTTCCTGGCTCCATATGAGAAGCTAATAAATGACTGATGATCTAAGGTGGAAGAGTTTCATCCTGAAACCCTCTCCTGCCAGCCCCTGCCACATCAGTGGAAAAATTGTATTCCATGAAACCACTCCCTGGTGCCTAAAAGGTTGGGGACTGCTGGTAGATGACATTGAACTGTACCCTCTAAACAAAAACCACACAATTCCTTTCTTTCCTTACCTTTGGCAGCCACCATTCTACTGTCCATCTCTATGAATTTGAGGTTCCCTAGGTACCTCATATAAGTAAAATCACACCATATTTGCCCATTTGTAACTGGCTTATTCTATTTTGTGAAACGGTTTCCTTGTCTGGGGTAAATACCTACCTGAGGTTCATTGTCTCAGGGTCAAGGAAATCAAGGATGTGGACACACAAAGAGTGAGGTTAAGAGTGGAACTTCAATAGGCGAAAGAAAGAGAATAGTTCTCTTCCTGCAGAGAGGGGTCCCAGAGAAATTAGTACCAGATCTGTGGTAAAAGGCAAGGTTTTTATGGATGCCTGGGGAAGAGGTGGTGTTTGATTTACATAGGGGACAGATGATTGGTTGGACCAGGTGTGCTATTTGCATAGGGTGCAAAAAACTGGTTAGAAGTAAGTGTGCCATTTGCATAGGGCATGAATTGCTGACCACCTCCACTCTAATCTTTTATTATGCAGGCTAATTTTTGTATTTTTAGTACAGACAGTGTTTCACCATATTGGCCAGGCTGGTCTTGAACTCCTGGCCTCAATTGGTCTGCACCATGTAGCCCATTCCTTTATTATACTTGTGATAACAAAAAAAAGGGAGGATGGAGCCTCCATTTTGGACTTGCCTGGCCCCCAGGTAGCCCTTTTTTCTATTGGCATAGCAGCCAGCATTTCCTCGTGCAAGCTTCCGCTGGCATATCCGCGTTTGCAGCTCTGATTTTTCAGACTGCTCTTTGTTTAAAAAAATAATTTCTTGGGCTGCTTTTAGTTAAAAGGAAAGCTCTGCTGAGGACTCTTTTACCATCACTATCTGACTAAATAATTTCTTTCTAACTCCTGTATCATGATAGCCTCAAAGTTTACCCATGTTATATAGCATGTATCAGAATTTCATTTTTAAAGCTAAATATTTTTCCATTGTCTGGATCCACCACAGTTTGTTTATCCATTCATTTATTGATGAACACTTGGGTTGCTTCCACCTTTTTGCTACTGAAAATAATGTTGCTATACTATTGAAAATAATGTTGCTATAAACATGAGTGTACAAATATCTCTTTTAATTCCTCCTTTCAAATTTTTGGAGTATGTACCCAGAAATGAAATTGCTGGATCATATGAAAATTCTGCAATATTTTTAATGTATCTACCATAATGTTTTCCCTAGCAGCAGCACCACCTTACACTCCTATATTTCCATCAACAGTGCACGAGTGTTCCATTTTTTCTACATCCTTGCCAACATTTGTCTTTTTCTGTATTGTTAGTTGGTTTTTATAGTAGCCATTCTTACTGGTGTGAAGTGTTATCTTACCGTGGTTTTGATTTGCATTCCCCTAGTGTCTTAGACTATTCAGACTGCTATAACAAAATACCATAACCTGGGTAGTTTATAAACAACAGGAAATTATTTTTCATAATTCTGAAGAATGGGAAGTCCATGACCAAGTTACTGGCAGATTGGATGTCTTCTAAGGGCCCACTTATTGGTGTATAGATAGTGACTTCTTCTTGTATCTTCACATGGCAGAAGGTGCTAGCTAGCTCTCTGGGGTCTTTTTAATGAAAGCACTTATCCCACTCATGAGGGCATCCCTCATGAACTAATTATCTCCCCAAGGCCTCATCTTCTAATACCATCACCTTGAAAATTAGAATTTCAACATATGAATGGGGGTGGGGGTATAAGTGGTGAGTACATTGCACCTAATGATAAGAGATGTTGAATACCTTTTCATGTGTTTATTGACCACTTGTACATCATTTTTGGAGGAAATGTCTCTTCTGTCATTTTCCCATTTTGGAATAGGATTATTTGTTTTTATGTTGTTGAGTAGTAGCAGTTTGTTTTATATATACTGGAAATTATGCACTTGTTGGATATAAGATTTGCAAATATTTGCTTCTATTTTATGAAATTTCTTTTCACTCTATTGATTGTGATTTTATGCATGAAAATTTTAAATTTAATGTACACTAATTTATCAATTTTTTTGTTCCCAAAACTTTTGGTGTCATATCCAATAAATCATTGCCAAATCCAGTGTCATGAAACTTTCTCCCTATGTACTTTTCTAAAAGTTTTACACTTGTCATTATTAAATTTAGAATTTGGTCCATTTTTTAAAATCTTAACACATAATAATTGTACATACTTATAGGATTCAGAGTGATACTTCAATACATGTATACACTGTGTAATGATAAAATCAATGTAGTTAGCATATTTATTAGCTCCAAACTTTTATTATTTATTCATGTTGTAAACATTCAATATCCTCTCTTCTAGCTTTTAGAAAATATACATTATTGTTAATCGTATTCAACCTAGATAACTATAGAACACTAGAACTGATTCCTTTTCTCTAGCTGTAGCTCTTTATGTACTTTTTTAAAAATTTACTTCAGTAGTTTTTTAGGGATGAGTGGTCTTTGGTTACATAGATAAGTTCTTTTATGGTGATTTCTGAGATTTTGGTGGACCCATTACCCAAGCAGTGTGCACTGTACCTGGTGTGTAGTTTTTTCATGCCTCACCACCCTCCCACCCTTCCCCTGACTCCCCAAATTCCATGATATCATGCTTATGCCTTTGCACCCTCATAGCTCAGTTCCCACTTGTGAGAACATGTGATATTTGTTTTTTTATTTCTGAATAATGATCCTAGAATAATGATCTCCAGCTCCACCCAAGTTGCTGCAAATGATATTTCATTCTGTTTTATGGCTGAGTAGTATTCCAAAGTATATATTTACTACATTTTCTTTATCCACTGTTTCATGCGCATCCATGTGAAGGGACCAGCAAACAGGCTTTGTGTGAGCAATAAAGCTTTTAATCACCTGGGTGCAGGCAGGCTGAGTCCGAAGAGTCAGCGAAGGGAGATAAGGATGGGGTCATTGTAAAGGATTTGGGTAGATAAAGGAAAATTACAGTCAAACGGGGGTTGTTCTCTGGCAGGCAGAGGGGGTCACAAGGTGCTCAGTAGGGGAGCTTTTGAGCCAGGATGAGCCAGAAGAAGGAAGTTCACAAGACAATGTCATCAGTTAAGGCAGGAACCGGCCATCTGGATGTGTACGTGCAGGTCACAGGGGATATGATGGCTTAGCCTGGGCTCAGAGGCCTGACATTCCTGTCTTCTTATATTAATAAGAAAAATAAAATGAAATAGTGGTAAAGTGTTGGGACAGTGAAAATTTTTGGGGGTGGTATGGAGAGATAATGGGTGATGTTTCTCAGGGCTGCTTCCAGTGGGATTAGGGGCAGCATGGGAACCTAGAGTGGGAGAAATTAAGCTGAAGGAAGATTTTGTGGTAAGGGGTGGTATTGTGGGACTGTTAGAAGAAACATTTGTCATTTAGAATTATTGGTGATGGCCTGGATACGGTTTTGTATGAATTGAAAAACTAAACAGAGTAAGAGAAGGAGAAAAACAGGTATTAAACGTCTAAGAATTGGGAGGACCTAGTATATCTAATTAGAGTGCCTAAGGAGATTCAGCATAGTCCTGCCAGCAAAGATTATTTATTTACTTCAAGAGTTAACAGTGGCAGTTTGGAGATAGCACCAGGAGATATCAGCTGTGATGGCTTGGAGAAACAGTGTAAACCGGCAGTGTAAACAAGAGCAGGGCATGTATGAATAGTTGAGAATGGTGAATACGAGTATGACTAAACAGAAGATAGTGTGGAAGACAAGATTTTTGGGGCACAGTCCAAGTCGGTCTGGTATCTGGAATGAGACTGGGGCCTAATAAAAAGGAGTGTCCATACAGGAGCTCAAATGGGCTGTACCCTATAGCATTCCAAGGACAGGCCTGAATTCTGAGAAGGGAAAGTGCTAAAAGTATTGTCCAGTCCTCTTTAAGTTGGTGGCTGAGCTTGGTGAGGTGTGTTTTTAAAAGACCGTTAGTCTGTTCTACCTTTCTGAAGACTGAGGACTGTAAGGGATATAAAGTTTTCACTGAATACTAAGAACCTGAAAAAATGCTTGGCTGATTTGACTAATAAAGGCCAGTCTGCTATCAGACTGTATAGAGGTGGGAAGGCCAAACCAAGGAATTATGTCTGACAGAAGGGAAGAAATGACTGCGGTGGCCTTCTTAGACCCTGTAGGAAAGGCCTCTACCCATCCAGTGAAAGTGTCTACCTAGACTAAGAGGTACGTTAGTTTCCTGACTTGGGGCATGTGAGTAAAGTCAATTTGCCAGTCCCGGGCAGGGGCAAATCCCCGAGCTTGATGTGTAGGAAAGGGAGGAGGCCTGAACAATCCCTGAGGGGTGGTAGAATAGCAAATGGAACACTGAGAAGTGATTTCCTTGAGGACAGATTTCCAGGATGGAAAGAAAATAAGAGATTCTAAGAGACGGGCTAGTGGCTCGTAACCTACATGGAAGAGGTTATGAAATGACGACAGAATAGAATGGGCCTATGAGGCTGGAAGGAGATATTTTCCTGGGTCTAAGAACCTTTGCCTTGTGTGGGAAAAGACTGATAGGTGGAAGTTTCAGCGGGGGAGTAGATGGGAGTGACTGATGTGAAGGAGAAAAACTGGTGTGAGGGACAGAAGTTGGAAAGCTAGCTGCTTCTTTAGCTACCTTATCAGCATAAGCATTGCCCTGAGCAATGGGATCTGATGCCTTTTGATGGCCTTTGCACTGAATGACTCCATCTTCCTTTGGAAGTAAAGCAGCCTTGAGCAGAGTTTTTATTAAAGAAGTGTTAATGATGGAGGACCCTTGTGTAGTGAGGAAACCTCTTTCAGCCTATATGAGTGCATGGTGGTGCAGAATATGAAAGGCATATTTAGTCAGTATAAATATTGACACGTAGTCCTTTTGCAAGAGTGAGGGGCTGAGTTAAGGCAACTAGTTCGGCTTGCTGAGAGTTAGTGGAGGGGGGCAGAGAAGTAGCCTCAATGATAGACGTGGAAGATACTATAGCATAGCCTACCTTTGCTGGTGAGTGGCGATTAGGCCTGGTGGAACTGCCATCAATAAACTAAATGTGATCAGGGTGAGCAACAGGAAAGAAGGAAATATGGGGAAATGGGGTGAATGTCAGGTGGATCAGAGAGATAGTCATGAGGGTCAGGTGTGGTATCCAGAATAATGTGGGAGGCCGGATTGAAGTCTGGGCCAGGAACAATGGTAATTATGGGAGACTCAACAAAGAGTGAGTACAGCTGAAGGAGCCAGGGAGCAGAAAGTATATGCGTCAGGTATGAGGAAGAAAATAGATTTTGGAAGTTATGAGAAATGTTGAGAGTGAGTTGAGCATAGTTTGTGATTTTTAGGGCCTCTAAAAGTATTAAAGCAGTGGCAGCTGCTGCATGCAGACATGAAGGCTAGGCTAAAACAGATCAAGTTGTTTGGACAGAAAGGCTACAGGGTGTGGTCCTGGCTCTTGTGTAAGAATTCTGACGGCACTAACCATGCCTAGGAAGGAAAGGAGCTGTTGTTTTGTAAGGGATTGAGGTTTGGGAGATTAATCGGACACAATCAGCAGGGAGAGCACATGTGTTTTTATGAGAATTATGCCGAGATAGGTAACAGATGAGGATGAAATTTGGGCTTGACTGAAGTAATGGGGGCTGTCTGTGAAGGCTTGCGGCAGTACAGCCCAGGTAATTTGCTGAGCCTAATGGGTGTCAGGGTCAGTCTAAGTGAAAGTGAAGAGAGGCTGGAATGAAGGGTGCAAAGGAATAGTAAAGAAAGCATGTTTGAGATCCAGAACAGAATAATGGGTAGTAGAGGCAGGTATTGAGGATAGGAGAGTATATGGGTTTGGCACCACGGGGTGGATAGGCAAAACAATTTGGTTGATAAGGCACAGATTCTGAACTTATCTGTAAGTCTTGTCTGGTTTTAGGACAGGTAAAATGGGGGAATGGTAAGGAGGATTTATAGGCTTTAAAAGGCCATGCTGTAACAGGCGAGTGATAGCAGGCTTTAATCCTTTCAAAGTATGCTGTGGGATGCGATACTGGCATTGAGTGGGGTAAGGGTGATTAGGTTTTAGTGGGATGGTAAGGGGTGCATGATCGGTCGCTAAGGAGGGAGTAGAGCTATCTTATACTTGTGGGTTAAGGTGGGAAAATACAAGGGGAGGATGTGAAGGAGGCTTTGAACTGGGGGAAAAGGTGGCAATGAGGTGTGGCTGTAGCCCAGGAATAGTCAGGGAAGCAGATAATTTAGTTAAAGTGCCTCGGCCTAATAAGGGAACTGGGCAGGTGGGGATAACTAAAAAGGAGTGCTTAAAAGAGTATTGTCTAAGTTGGCACCAGAGTTGGGGAGTTTTAAGAGGTTTAGAAGCCTGGCCGTCAATACCTACAACAGTTATGGAGGCAAGGGAAACAGGCCTTTGAAAAGAAGGTAATGTGGAGTGGGCAGCCTCCGTATTGATTAAGAAGGGGACGGACTTACTTTCCACCGTGAGAGTTACTCAAAGCTCGGCGTCCGTGATGGTCTAGGGGGCTTCTGAGGCGATCGGGCAGTGTCAGTCTTCAGCCGCTAAGCTGAGAAGATCTGGGAAGGAGTCAGTCAGGGCGCCTTGGGCCAGAGTTCCAGGGCCTCTGGGAGTGGCTGCCAGGTGAGTTGAACAGTCTGATTTTCAGTGGGGTCCTACACAGATGGGATATGGCTTAGGAGGAATCCTGAGCTGCGGGCATTCCTTGGCCCAGTGGCCAGATTTCCGGCGCTTATAGCAAGCTCCTGGGGGAGGAGGTTCTGGAGGAATGCATGGCCGCTGCGGTTCAGGCGTTTGGAAGTTCTTGTGTGCTGGAGATGTGGCTGGGGTTTGTCTCACAGTGGAGGCAAGGAATTGCAGCTTTTTTCTATTATTGTACACCTTGAAGGTGGGTTAATTAAGTCCTGTTGTGGGGTTTGAGGGCCGGAATTTAATTTTTGGAGCTTTATTTAAAGTCAGGAGCAGATTGGGTAATAAAATGTATATTGAGAATAAGATGGCCTTTTGACCTTTTAGGGTCTAGGGCTGTAAAGTGTCTCAGGGTTGCTGCCAAACGAGCCGTGAACTGGGCTGGGTTTTTATATTTGATGAAAAAGAGCCTAAACGCTAACTGATTTTGGGATAAAGAAAAAGGAGCATTAACCTTGACTATGCCTTTAGCTCCAGCCACTTTTTAAAAGGAAATTGCTGGGCAGGTGGGGGAAGGCTAGTTGAGGAACGAAACTGTAAGCTGGACCGGGTGTGAGGAGGGGAGGTGATAAAAGGATTATAGGGTGGAGGAGTGGAGGCTTGCCACTAAGGGTGAAGGACCAAGGCAGGCATCCCTGCGTGGTCTGACACCTCTGAAACATGGGTGAATAATCAGAGACGTGTCCCTGCAATGATTAAACACCAAGGGAAGGCTGCCTTCCCAGTCTGTCACCAGCGCTGGAGTTTTGGGTCCACGGATAAAATGTGTCTCCTTTGTCTCTACCAGAAAATGAAACGAATTGAAATTAAGAGAAGGGAGAGATTGAAGTGTGGCACCAAGATTGAAAGGAGAAAGAGGTTGAGGGATAGTGAGGGAGGTTGGAGAAGAGAGTAAAAAGAGGCCTCATACCGGATTTGAAATTGGTGAGATGTTGCGCTGGTGGGTCTGAGGATCTGAGGTCGTAGGTGGATCTTTCTCATGGAGCAAAGAGCAGGAGGACAGGAGATTGATCTCCCAAGGGAGGTCCCCTGATCCGAGTCATAGCATCAAATTCCATGTGCATCCGTTTGAAGAGACCACCAAACAGGCTTTGTGTGAGCAACAAAGCTTTTAATCACCTGGGTGCAGGCGGGCTGAGTCCAAAAAGAGAGTCAGCAAAGGGAGATAAGGGTGGGGTCGTTGTATAGGATTTGGGTAGATAAAGGAAAATTACAGTCAAAGGGGGATTGTTCTCTGGCGGGCAGAGTGGGGGTCACAAGGTGCTCAGTGGGGGAGCTTTTGAGCCAGGATGAGCCAGGAGAAGGAATTTCACAAGACAATGTCATCAGTTAAGGCAGGAACAGGCCATTTTCACTTCTTTTGTGGTGGAATGTCATCTGTTAAGGCAGGAACCGGCCATCTGGATGTGTACGTGCAGGTGACAGGGGATATGATGGCTTAGCTTGGGCTCAGAGGCCTGACACCCTGTTCAGTTGATGGACATTTAGGTTGGTTCCACATCTTTGTAATTGCAATTGCAAAATATGGAACTACACATATTTTTCCTATAATGACTTCTTTTCCTTTGGGTAGATACACAGTAGTGGGATTGCTGAATCAAATAGTACTTCTATTTCTAGTTCTTTAAGGAATCTCCATACTGTTTTCCACTGTGGTTGTATTAGTTTACATTCCCATGATCTAGTTGTTCCTTTGTGTCTGTTAACAAACCTCTCTATTGTCTCCTCCCCCAACCTTCCAAGACTCTAATAATCACAATTCTACCCTCTACTTCTGTAAGTTAATTTTTTTAGCTCCCATATATTAGAAAGAACATATAGCATTTATCTTTTAGTGCTTGACTAGTTTCATTTAATATAACGTCCTCCAGGCTCATCCATGTTGCTGTGAACGACAAGATTTCATTTTTTGTGTGTGCCAGCATAGTATTCCATTGTGTATAAACATCACATTTTCTCTATTGATTTATGTGCTGATGGACACATAGGTTGATTTCATATATTGGCTTTTGTGAATAGTGCAATCTCAGATCACTGCAACCTCTGCTTCCCAGGTTCAAGCGATTCTCATTTCTCAGCCTCCCGAGTAGCTGGGATTACAGACTTGTGCCACCATGCCTGGATAATTGTTGTTATTTCTAGAAGGAATGGGGTTTTGCCATGTTGGCTAGGCTGGTCTCTAACTCCTGGCCTCAGCCTCCCAAAGAACTGGGATTGCAGGCATTAGCCATTGTACCTGGCCAATTTTTAGTTTTTTGAGGAACCTCTAAACTGTTTTTTGTAGTGCTTGCACCAATTTACATACTTATGAAGTGTGCAGGGGTTTCTTTTTCTCCACATCCTCACCAGCATTTGTTATTGCCTGACGGTTGGATAAAAGCAATTCTAACCGGGATGAGATGGTATCTCATTGCTGTTTTAACTTGTATTTCTCAGATAATTGATGATGTTGAGCAACTTTTCATACACCATTTTGCCATTTGTATGTCTTCTTTGTAGAAAATTTTTTCAGAACTTTTTCCCATTTTTAAATTGGATTATTAGACTTTTTCCTATAGAGTTGTTTGAGCCCCTTATAAATTCTGGTTACTAATCCCTTGTCAGATGAATAGTTTTAAAATATTTTCTCTCATTCTGTGGATTGTCTCTTTACTTTCTTGATTGTTTCCTTTGTTCTGCAAATGCTTTTTATCTTAATTTGATCCCATTTGTGCACCTTTGCTTTGACTGCCTGTGCCTGCAGTGAATTGCTCAAGAAATCTTTGCCCAGTCCAATGTCCTGGAGAGTTTCCCCAATGTTTTCTGTTAGTAGTTTCATAATTTGAGGTCTTAAAGTCTTTAAATCATTTTGATTTTTTTATAAGCCAAGAAATAGGTGTCTGGTTTCATTCTTCTGCATAAGAACATACAGTTTTCCTGGCACCATTTATTGAGGAGACTGTCTTTTCCCCTATGTATGTTCTTGGCATCTTTATGAAAAATGAACTTCCTGTATGGATTTGTTTCTTGTTTCTCTCTTCCACTCATTAGTCTGTGTGTTTGTTTCCTGGTTCTCTCTCCTGTTCTATTAGTCTATGTGTTTTTTTTTATGTCAGTATCATGCTGTGTTGGTTACTATAGCTCCTTAGTATAATTTTAAGTCAGGCAATGTGATTCCTTGAGTTTTGTTCTATTTGCTCAGGATTGCTTTGGGTATTCTGGGTCTTTTAAGATTCCATGTACATTTTAGCATTTTTTAAAATTTTTGTGAAGAATGTTGTTATTTTGATAGGGGTAATATTGAATCTGTAGATTGCTTTGTGTAGTGTAGACATTTTAACAATATTGATTATTCAAATCTATCAACAAGAAATATGTTTTCTTTCTTGTGTGTCCTTTTCAATTTGTTGCATCAATGTCTTACTGTTTTCATTGTGGAAGGATATCAATTTTAATTTAGATGTTGGCCAGTTGTACATAAATTCCAAAGGGAAGAGAATATAAGGAGGCATTTTCAACCTCCACTGGCTTTCCATTATGGACTGAACTATATTTTCTACTTTAGGTTGGAATGCCCTTAGCAGAGAGGGAGTTTCATCAGTCAGTTGGTGGCTTAGGGGTTCTATAAGTAAAGATCAAGAGATTAGGTAATTGTCCAATTTGCAGCAAAGGTAGTTTTGCTGAGGTTTAACACAGAGTTTTTTCTAGATCATAACATCTCAATAACATTTATGCTTTTCTCTTGCAATCCTTCTGAATAATGAGTTTGTCAAGGCTTTCTTCATTTTCTTACTACTGTGAGTGGTGAAAAGCCATGAATCTGAGAGATATTACATTTATCTGTGTTAGTATTTCCAGATGTACAAAACCAGTGTCCAAATGTACACTTTAATTTGGCCAAATTCATTTAACATTGAGACGATGTTCTGAGCTCCTCCTGGGACTCTGGTGATGTGCAGAGGTTTAGGATTGTATTCCTAAAAGACTTGCTAGGAATGTTGTAGTAATTGCAACATACTTATATAAACGTAAACCTGATGACTGTAGTTGCACAATAGAATTCCTACTGAAGTCTTTACATGAAGAAACACTGATGTTTCTGTCAGTCCTTTGAAAAATTGGTTGATCTACATTTGATCACTTTATATGACAAAAGCTGTTGTTAAATGACGTGATCCTATATCTAGTATATGAACATAGTGAGTATTCTTATTATTTATTAATATTATGATCATCATGCCTTTTCTTGACTCTATTTTTTTTTTCTTTTTTTGAGACAGGATCTCTGTTGCTTAGGCTGGAGTGCAGGGTACAATCTTGGTTCACTGCGGCCTCAACCTCCCTCACTCAAGCGATCCTCCTGCCTCAGCCACTCAAGTAGCTGGGATCACAGGAGTGCACCATCACACACAGATAATTTTTGTATTTTTTATAGAGATAAGGTTTGTCAGGGCTTGTCTTGAACTCGTGGACTCAAGGGACTGGCCTGCCTTGGCCCCCCACAGTGCCTGGATTACAGGTGTGAGCCACTGCAGCTGGCCCCTTGCCTCTATTTGACGCTTTCTGCTCACTCCTTTGCATTCTTTTTAAATTCTATTCAGGAAGATATAATGAATTACAGTTGAAAGCAAAACTATCTAAAGTTGCTGACATAACTCATCTAGTTTACAAGTTTAGTGAAAAATCACTCAAACTAGTCCATAAAATTGAATGGTTCATTCAATGTGAAAAACAAACACACAGGTAAACTGTGGCCATGAGCTGGAATAAAGCAATGAATCAACAGGCCAAGTGCCACCCCCATTCCTATTATTTCTGAGACTGTGAGTTAAGGCAGGTTAAGGTGGCCAGAATAAAATAGGTAGTTTTCTTTCTGGGAACCGTCAATTAAAATTTAAAAAATCATTTATTGACTGTATGTAGTCTCTGAGCAGCGTAATCAGGGGAGTGCATCGAAGAAGACTTAGTCATCTAAGATTGAACCTGAAAAGGAAAATTATAATTTGAAAGTAAGACAAAGAAATATAATATACAGCATAAAAAGTAGAATATTGTAAATATTCTAAGACATTTTTAAGATGGGTTACATGGTGTGTATATATCTATGATTTAAATACCATGTTAAAAACCAGATTAAAATCTTATTCACTGTTCAATACCTTGCATCAGATCATGAAGTGAGAAATGTCAGACTCAGTCATAATTTGTTGAGTGATTAAATAAATAAATGAATATATGAGTAGATGAGTAATTTCATGAGTAAATTAAAATTCTGATCAATTAATTTTCTTCTTTAAGTTCTACAAGATAGAAAAAAATTGTCTTCTATATTGTTTCACAGAAGACTATATGTATTATGTATTTATTTTCTATTAAGGAAAATGCAGTCTATTTAGTGGCCATGTGGAGAACATTCATTCAATCATTCCACTTGGTCAAAATCACTACTTTAGGGTTTTTTTAAGAGAAAGATAAAAATATTATCTATATGGACAAATTTGTTTACCTAGAGTATTTAAGTTGTAAATGAATGTAGGAAATGAAATTTTCAAATATATAATTTGATCATTTTGTTAATTTGAGGTAAGAATTGTAATTTATAAGGAAATACCTACCATACTACATGAGCAATAAGTTGAAGAATTTTCTTCACAGTACCTACCATTTTAATTGTATGATAGTTTTGGAAATGTTTATATATAGTAAATTTTTAAGACCTGTATCACCATCATGTTTGATGGTTAAGATTATTGAGAATAATTTAGAGAGCTAGTAAGTGGTTTAGGCAAGAAGCAAACCCTGTTTTTTAGTCCACAGTTTTCTACTCTTGGAAGTATGTTATGTTGCCACATAGAAAGTCAAGTTTAAGGCCCCTATTATTATTGTACTGCAGTCTAGATCTTCCTTTAAATCCTTTAATATTTGTTTTACATATTTAGGTGCTCTGATGTTAGGTGCATAAACATTTACAATTGTTATATCTTATTGACGAATTGACCCTTTAATCAACAAAATAAAGTTTAAACCAGAGTTTATATCATAAATAACAAAATAGAAGAAATAAAATATTTCAAATGTTTAAAGACTTCAACTTGTGGTAATGTGTAGCATTTTACCAACTTTAATATATTTACAGAGATTTAAGGTTGTGCTAGCAGAAGTCCATTTTCAGAAGACTTCAAACATCTACATATAAAAGCACAGAAATATAAGTACTTCTTACCAGGTCGAGTGATCTATTTTGACAAAACTAATGTGATTTGTTTAGATCAATTATTTAAAAAACAAACTGTTTACTGATGGTGAATGACTACAACATTCATAAAACTTTGAAGTGCAAACTCTATTTCTTTATTTTGATTATCAATAAATATTGCTCCTATGGAGAAAAATAGCTAGGTTGCTTAAATCTGGGATATAAGAATTATACATGTAGAGCAAAATTATAATTTATTCAAAATACAGGCACAAATGTTTGTATATATGCAAATAGCAACACAATATTCAATCTTAATAAATGTTACTGAATTCCATATACTAGGCTTTCTTCTCTAATCATGGATTTCCATATACTGGGTGTGCTCAGTCTACACCTCTTCTTTCAATGGGGGCCGGTTGTAGTAACTTTCCTAGTCATAACAACTCTTTAGCTCTTAAATGAAAGGAATATAAGGTTATTTTCTATAAATGCAGAGATTTATAAGCAGTATAGTTATAGTGGTAATGTTTCAATAAAACAAATTGTGGCTTCATTCGAAAGTGTTCCAGTTAAAACTTAAAAAAATACTTGCAGAGTATCAAAACTTTAAGGTATACTAATTGATATTACAAGGGATTCCCTTGTAATTTTATGTATCTGTCTATCTGTCTATCTATCTATCATCTATCTGTCTATCTATTATCTGTCTAACAATCAATCGATTGATATATCTATCAGCATAAGTCTTCAGATTTGCCAATTCAGACTTTTACTAGCAAGAAGAAAAATCTTTAGAATAATAAAATTTTAGACTAAAAATTAATCAAATTTTAAAAGCATTATTTGTTGTCATAATCTTAGTTCTCTCAGGGTTAGATTATTATGTCAACCAGTGTTTTAAGTTTTATTCTAGCTTCATAATTCAGTCTCTCAAACTAATGTGTGGAGAAGTCAAGTCAGAGTAGCAAAAGTGCAAATTATTATTTGGTTTGGAAATACCAAGTTTAGTATAATTTATTAAATCAACTCAACAGATACACAGTGTGCTTCTCTTTACATAAAGCAAACAGAAAACCTTAGTTTGGAATGAGAGTGACAATATGTGTTATATTTTCATAGCAGTTTGCTGGCTTCCAAGCACTTCCACTTAACTAATCAACTCCCGTTCTTCCCTCAGCCACACACACCCTTTCTCATCCAGCATATTACCTTGTGAGTTTTTGTCAAAGCACTTAAAACTTTCTGGAATATTTTATTCTTTCTCACATGTTTAACAGTTCAGTGTCAGTCTTTTCTAATAAAATTTAAATTTCATGAGATTTAGGCACTTATTCTGTTTCATTTATTCACAAAACTCCTGTGATAGCAGCATTAGGTGTATATATTGATTGAACAATCAGTGAATCAAGGACTACGTCACTGAATGAGCCCATATTGTTTAAATTGATCACAGTAGTACACACCATGATTCTGCTTTTACAGATGGAGGGAATTTTCCTTGGGTGAAGAATGTTGCCAACTTTACATGGCTGGTAAGTGGGAGTGATACAGCCCAAGCCTCCTGTCTCCCTCTTCTACAGTGAAGGTTCTGCTGAACCTTCCATGTGATAATTTGTCCTGCTTAAAAATATTTTGGACACATACTGTATTTACCTAATACAATAATACATGAAACTTATAGATGGTAAAATTCTAATTGGATCATCAACATAAAAGTATAAGGAAAAATTATCATTAGCTCATCATCATGAAAATATGAAGCCATTCTTTTTTCCCCCTTTTTTTAAAAATTAGCCTTTATTTTAAGTGCAGAGGTACATGTGCAGGTTTGTTATATAGGTAAACTTGTGTCACGGGTGTTTGTTGTACAGATTATTTCATCACCCAGGTATTAATCCTAGTAGCCACTAGTTATTTTTCCTGATCCTGTTATTTGAAAACTGACAGAGTCATTCAACTGGGCACAGTCTCCAAGTTATCTGCTGAATGCAACTGGTACAGAATAAGCACACGAGGTGGATGACTGTGGTGAAAGAGTAGCTGTTCAATCTGGACAGGTTTTTGCTTCCTGTGAAAAGGGAATAAAATACTAACTTTCAGGATTATTGAGAGTCTTAAATTGATATGTGAATTTTATCTAGAACATGTCTGGTAGTAGTATGTGCCCTCAAAATATTCCTACATACCAATAACAATATCGATGTTTCTGAAAATAATAACAAGAGACAGTTAAGGAACATTCATGATGTCCTAGACAATTTCCTAAGGATTTTATAAATCTTATCTCATCCTGATGAAGCACTATGACAGAAAGAACATTTTTTAGAGTTCTATAAAGGAATGGAGACTAAGCCTGTAACTAAAATGCCCATTTCACACTATGATGGAGACCAGTATTTTGAAGTAGCTAACTAAAAATCAAAGCTAGGATTTTAATCACTACAAATTATTGTGTATTTCCCCTCTATCTAAAGAACCTCAAGAAACTATCCAGAACATACATTTGTTCATTCAATTCTTAAGCATATAAAGACAATATCTTCATGATGTGGGTGAACAGTTTTGTTCTCTGTATCAGAATCTGTATTGATAAATAATTAGCGATAAGTATATTTGAGTGAAATAACTTATTAAAATATTTATTTAATATCAAATATAAGTAAATAACTTTATCTGACCCATGGAGGACACTAAGTTGCATAAAATTTAATTTTGAACAACTTCTAAACAACAGAAACAACAACAAAGCATCTGCCCAATTTGAATATAAAGAATATTATGTAGGTTCATAGAGGACCACTTGAGTTGCCTTCAAAAATGTAAGGACCAACAATGTAGATTACAACTAGAAAGGGATCAAGACTACGATATTTAAGAACCATCTTTCCATCATTTGATTCTTCGTGAGTGTTCAGGATTTCTGTTTCCCAGGTCCAAGCTTCATCATCCACCGATGCCCAATTCAACCACCGTGATGGAATTTCTCCTCATGAGGTTTTCTGATGTGTGGACACTACAGATTTTACATTCTGCATCCTTCTTTATGTTGTATTTGGTAACTCTAATGGGAAACATCCTCATTGTGACCGTCACCACCTGTGACAGCAGCCTTCACATGCCCATGTACTTCTTCCTCAGGAATCTGTCTATCTTGGATGCCTGCTACATTTCTGTTACAGTCCCTACCTCATGTGTCAATTCCCTACTGGACAGCACCACCATTTCTAAGGCGGGATGTGTAGCTCAGGTCTTCCTCGTGGTTTTTTTTGTATATGTGGAGCTTCTGTTTCTCACCATTATGGCTCATGACCGCTATGTGGCTGTCTGCCAGCCACTTCACTACCCTGTGATCGTGAACTCTCGAATCTGCATCCAGATGACACTGGCCTCCCTACTCAGTGGTCTTGTCTATGCAGGCATGCACACTGGCAGCACATTCCAGCTGCCCTTCTGTCGGTCCAACGTTATTCATCAATTCTTCTGTGACATCCCCTCTCTGCTGAAGCTCTCTTGCTCTGACACCTTCAGCAATGAGGTCATGATTGTTGTCTCTGCTCTGGGGGTAGGTGGCGGCTGTTTCATCTTTATCATCAGGTCTTACATTCACATCTTTTCGACCGTGCTCGGGTTTCCAAGAGGAGCAGACAGAACAAAGGCCTTTTCCACCTGCATCCCTCACATCCTGGTGGTGTCAGTCTTCCTCAGTTCATGCTCTTCTGTGTACCTCAGGCCACCTGCGATACCTGCAGCCACCCAGGATCTGATCCTTTCTGGTTTTTATTCCATAATGCCTCCCCTCTTTAACCCTATTATTTACAGTCTTAGAAATAAGCAAATAAAGGTGGCCATCAAGAAAATCATGAAGAGAATTTTTTATTCAGAAAATGTGTAAGAAACCCGAGAGGCTCACCCTAGGCTGTTTTGTGATATTCATGTTTTCAGGAATAAGTTGTAATAATTGATTGTGGTTATTAGATAAAATTGGTGTAAATTTAATAAATAAGGCTACTAAAATGCATCATGTATCAAAATCGATATTTCCTTTCAAAAGTTTTTGAATAATTTTAATATGCCATTGGGTAAAAAAATCTGGTGTTATGAAGAAGACAATTCTAATAGTACATGTTTTCAAGTTAATGACTCACTAAAAAAAATCATAAAGCCTAAAATATTATCTTTAAAAGTATTTTGTGTTAAAGTTCTGTTCTATATTCATCCACTCTTCAACTTTTGGTAAGTCCAAAATAAAAATGGTGTCAATTAATTTTCAAAAGCCATATTTAGTATTATAGAAGAAATGAAAACATTCAGTTGTGCATTCATTCAAAGTTAAATATGAGAAATGTATGTTTTTGGAGGACCATAAGAATATGAGTGAAATGCATACTGTGAAAAGATGAGTGGATTTGTCAGGTCATAGATGAGGGGATTAGTAACACTTTACATAGCTTCCCTTTTATGTTAAAGAAAAGCTCTAGATACATCATACTTATCAGCCCACGATTTTACTAAAAATGCATTCAAGTGCTTTGGGGATACATTTATTTTATTATCTGTTTTAAGTGGCTCACACCCTATATTCCAATTTATTATCAACTTCTTCTCCATACATCCATTAAGGCCTTTGAGGAGTTAATAGTATTGTCTTGTTTTGTGATGGTGTCATGTATCTGAAAGATTTATTTTGATGGCCAATAGTAACAGCCGTTATCTGGTAGCTTATATTGCAATAATCAGTAATCCCAAATTCTTAGTAGGATAATATAACAAAGGTTTACTTCTAGTTTATAGTATCTTTCAAATTCAGATCGTAAGCAGGGCTCTCTGTACTGTATATCCTTGAAAAATAAAATGCAAGATAAGAAGCCAGTCACACTGAAACATGATTTTAAGCGTTGACCAAAAAAATGCCAGTTGGAAAAGGTGATGGGAGCACCCACCTCAAAGCCTAAGCGACTATTTCATCTTAGAGCTGAACACATCACGTTTATGAGTTCTTTTGTGAATATGGAAATAACCCAAAGTATCCCCCTGCATGCCTTACCTGACTGTTTTGGCATCTGCTGTGGAAAGAGACCCTTGAGCTCACAAGCAAATGAACAATTGATAATATTTAAAAAGCAACCCAAGTCTTCATTTTGACAATAAGAGTTAATAATGAGTAATGTAAAATATATATTTGAAATAAAGATTTGAATATACATTATGACTTCAAGGGTCATCACAATTAAAGGATAAAGCACTCAGGTGAAATGAAATCCTAATGTACATTTGAAAACAAAGGAAGTCATAAAGGAGTTTTAACTTTCAGAAAATGATATTCATTTATTTTGAGTATTGGAAGGTAAATTTCCACAGGCAGGAACTGGTTACCCAAATGAAGAGAACACGGAAAAGTGCACACTGGTTTTGCTGCCTGTCCCAGTCATTTGGCCCAATGCGTTACATGGCCATACCTCCTGCAGAGGCGAGGGTGTTGACAGTTTCCCCACACCTGCAAAAAAAATGGGGGGATCAATGATGCCAGTGAGTGCTGTGAATGATCAATATCGCCCTAAATGAAAATATAAAATGTCAGATTCTGAATGTCTGTTGCTCATGCAATTCTACTATCCTGTATCCTGTATGTATCCTGATACAATGTGCGCATTTGTATCAGCAATTTTAAACCGTAAAATCTTTAGCATATTGCAACAAGAACTGTGCAACGTTCTTCAAATGCATTATCTTAGGCAACACTTTGATAACTTCATGTCATGGATAATAATGCTCCCTCATTGAGCAAATGAGTTTCTGAGTTTAGAAATATAATGCAAGATAGTCAATAGTACTCAGTTTGGAAACAGCCATATTTTGGATTCCTGATGCTGTTTATTGCCATGTAAGCTTCATCTTTTAACTTCTCTTGTTTTTGCTTATTTTTATTGTTGTTTGTGTTTATTGAATATATGTTTCATCCAGAAGTGACAGTCACTCCATTGAGGGTAAAGATTAGGGAGGTTTAGCCTCAACCTTTACACTTTTCTTTGAATACATATAACAAAGTGAAATTTCAGTTTTGAATTTTCTCTAAAACTCTTAAATTTCATTCCAGGCTCATTGATACAACTATAATGTTGGCTCCAACAATAAAATTTCACCACATATGTTCAGTTTCATTTGAAGAACATGGGGATTTAGGAAATCAATGTCTTTCTATGAATTCCACTGTGAGTCCAACATGGTTCTCCAAACTTACACATTATCTCATCAACCTACACAGTGGCACTTTGTTAGAATAATCATCTTTAGCATGTATATGAGAAACAGGAGGCAATAGGAATAAATTTGTTAGAAGTTGAATAAAACCAAAATTTAATTTTACTCCAAATCTCCTTCTTTAGAGAATGCAATTTATTGGTTACATCCTGAAATATATATATATACACACACATCTTATATATGCAAAATATTATGCATAACATTACATATATAACTATATTGCATATGTTTATATACATATTTACATACTCTATATTTACATATGTAATATGTATATGTAGATATATGTAATATTTATGTATTTAAGTACTTACATATATAAATATGTGCAAATACATATTAGGTATTACATATATAGGATGTATATATATTATATCACAGAATGAAACCAATAAATTGCATTCTCTAAAGAAGGAGATTTGGAGTAAATTTAAATTTTGGTTTTATTCAACTTTAACAAATGTATTCCTATTACCTCCTGTTTCCCATATGCATGCTAAAGACGATTGTTCTAACAATGTGCTACCATGTGGGTATGTAAATGTAGATATGTACATATATACATATAAAACATATAATATTACATATTAATATGTAGTAGAATTATATATGTGTATATGTATATTAGATTATATATAATTATCTATGTTCTCTAAAGTCCACTGATACTCAATGTCATGACTCAGGGTATCAGTAGAATTTAGAGATGAGGACATAAAAATGTGTTAGGAGAGAAACAACCTCACAAGGGGAAGACAGAAGGGAAGACACAAGGGAAAGACAAAGCACCTATTTATAGTTTCTTCCTGTGGCTTGGAAATTTTCACCACGTGGTGGCCTAAGTTTAGGAAGACTACTTTACATGATCGCTAAAAGTTTTAGGAATTGCTGTTCTAGTGAGTGAAGCAGAAGTTGCTTCATCTTTATAACCTAGTCTTGGAAGTTACAAAGTATATTGTATTGGCTCAAACAGTCACAAAAACCTGACTAGTTTTAAGGAGACAGGTCATAAAATGATGAAGATTTTTATAATCTTTAGAAACATCAAAGTGCCTCAAAACCCAAAATAGGTAAAAATAGATTTAGACATAAAACAATAAGCAAAATACTACATTTAAAATGTCACTTTTGAGAGATAATATCATACTATTTGATATATATCAGGAGCCAAAAACATAAATTTGAATTTTAAGGATCCATGTCCATCAGTGCAAATTATCATAGTACTAGGCAAAAAGAGGAATTTCATATGGCTTTCTTAGCATAAAATGAAAATAACTTGGTAATATTCTATATATATATATATATTATAATAAGTCATAGAACACTAGACAAAGAATGGAAATAAAGTCCGGTGATGCTTAACAATGGGATATATTTGAGAAATGCATTGTTAGATAATTAAGTCATTGTGTGAGCATCATAGAATGTACTTACACACACCTAGATGACATAGCCTACTACACATCTAGGCTATATGGTATGGCCTAGTATTCCTAGGCTACAAACCTGTGCAGAATGTTCCTATACTGAATATTGTACATAATTATAAAACCACTGTAAATATATATATATATATATATATATATATACACACACATACCTAAACATAGAAAAGGTACAAGAAAAATATGGTATAAATGACATAAAATGATGTGTATACCTGTGTAGGGCAGCTCCATTATATTCTTATGGGGCCACTTCGTACATGTGGTCCATTCTGGACAGAAATGTTCTTATGCAGTGCATGCATGTACTTAAGGTACCAAAGTTTACATAAAGATTGATACATTTATTTTACAATTAGAATTAAGATGGGAATGATCACTATGACCACAATTGCTTAAAATTTTGATGAATGTCTTTTAGAGAAAAACACTAAATTAACAGATACTCTATTAAACCAAGAAGATAGTTTATCAAGACCAGTCTATAAAATTATGTAACATTTTTTCTATGCCAGCGATAATGATTTGAGAAACATATAATAGAGTACTTGATAACAAAAACAAGTGTATAATATATAAAAATTAATATAACATAGAATGCAAAAATCTGCCTCAATAGATACAATTTAAAAGTGTAATAAAAGACTTACTAGAATATTGGAAAAAGTAGGCATTCTGTATTCAAGGATGGGATCACAATATAACCTTGTAAATTCCACTCAATACAAATTTCTAAATATTTATTTTAAAGACCTAATACAGCTTACTACATTATTCCTTATTATAAATTAACTAAGAGATAATAAATGTCCAAAATAACTTAGTAAATGTTGAAAAGTAAAGAACAAAGATGAGTAGTTTTCCTAATACCTATTGCTATATAACATAAAGTCATATTTATAACATCATCCTGATACATCGTAATATACACATCTCTATAATCAAATATAGAGAAACAGTTGGGACACTATTGCTCTCAAAAGTCAACTTACAATATATGAAACAGTATCTAATAAAGGAGAAATTTTATATTGAAAGAACAAAACATGCTATTACTCGATGTAGGAAAAACTTGCTCAACAACTAAAGAAAAAAATTATATTTCTATTTAAAAATATATAGAAACTAGACTTCAGATTAAGACTTAAATACATAACGTAATGCTATAGAGTTACTTGAACGTAATAGAAAATAATCTCTTTCTCATAAAGTGGAAGGGACACATAACTTCAACAGCAAAAGATTAATGAAATATATTTAATTACATAAAAATTAATAATATTTATCTAGTGAATGACATCATGGGCAAACAACATACTAATACAAATTGAAAGAAGATAATTTGCATCTCAGAGACAAATAAGCCAATAAAACCTAAAATATTCAATGTATTCCTACACATCTTAGGATGCCCATTTTAATTAGTAATCAGATAATTACTTAATCAGAGAATTAATTACTTAATCAGAGAATTACTTAAGATGCCCAGTTTAATTTGTAATCAGAGAAAGGGCAATTAAACAAAATAAAATATTACTTTAGATCCAATAAATTAGCAACATTTCAGGAGCTGAATAATGCTAAATGGTGCAAAAGATGTGAATGAATAAGAACGCTTGGAACTACATTTGAAAACATGATCTGATGTTGGTATCTTTCTTTTTTTTTTTTTTATTTTGAGAAAGTCTCACTCTGTCATCCAGGCTGGAGTGCAGTGGCACAATCTTAGCTCACTGCAACCTCCGCCCTCTGGGTTCAAGCGATTCTCCTGCCTCAGCTTCCCAAGTAGCGAGGATTACAGGTTCATGCTACCATGCCCAGCTAATTTTTGTATTTTTAGTAGAGACAGGGTTTCGTGGTGTTGATATCTTGAAGAGCAATCTGCTGGTGTCTAGGAAATTTATATTTTCATATCAATTAGAAGTCAGCAATTCTGCCTAAGCCCATTTATACCAAACAAATTCTCAGAAAGGTCCAGAATAAAGAAAATAATCCAAACAAGTTAAATATTATTTTTAGTTATAAATAAGTTATCAATAATAACATGGAATTAAAGCACAAAATTGTGATTTTTTAAAAACAAAGCCAAGATTTAAGTAGCTTACGATGGAAAATAAAGCATAAAGAATGCTTAATGCATTTTTTTTTGACATGGGGTCTGGCTCTGTCACTCAGCCTGGAGTGCAGTGGTGAGATTATAGCTCATGGCAGCCTAGAACTCCTCAGCTCAGTCTCCTGAGTAGCAAGGACTGCAAGTATGCGCCACCACACCCAACACATTTTTAAATTTTTTTTGTAGAGATGGGGTCTTGTTATGTTGCCCAGCCTGGTCTCAAATTCCTGGACTCAAGTGATTCTCCCACCTCAGCCTCCCCAAATAGTAAGATTATAGATATAAGCCACTGTGCCCAGCCTGGAATGCTTAATACTGTAAAAGCAAATAAAATAATGACACAAGATAACACATCTTCAGTAACATCAAGATTTGTTTATAAGCTACAGAAATAAAAACCAGGTAGGGGGTTGGGGGAAAGAGGAGGGAAAGCATTAGGACAAATACCTAATGCATGCGGGAGTTAAAACCTAGATGATGGGTTGATGGGTGCAGCAAACCACCATGGCACACTTTTGCCTATGCAACAAACCCACACATCCTGCACATATATCCCAGGACTTAAAATACAATAAAATTTAATAAAGTAGAAAAAATTATTAATATATACACATGAAATATAAATATATATGCACATACACATGTGGAAATAGAAAAAATGCGCACAGGATTTGACAGATATTTCACAAAGCAACAGTTAAACACATCAAAAGTCATGTAAACATTAGTAATCAAAAAGGCACATTGAACAATGATGCACCTATCAAATTGACTAAGACGGAAAAGTGCATAGAATTCAGTCCTGGTACATGTAAAGTTTATTGCTGTGATGCTGTAACACAAGTTGAAAACATTTTTGGACAGGGAATTTAGTTTATGGATATTAAGAAATTTGAAAACTTTGTATCTTCTTGCAAATCACTTTAGGAAAAAACACACTTAGAGAATGCTATCTGGGAAAGGTGGCGGGGGAGAGTATACGGAAATGTTGGTCAAAGAGTTAAAAGTTGCAGTTGTGTAGGATAAATAAGTCTAGAGATCTAATGTATAGCTTGATGACTATAGCTAATAATATTGTATTGTACACTGGGAAGTAGCCAAGAGAGTAGGTTTCAGGTGCTCTTAGCACATGTAGACACACACACACACACACACACACAAAGTAAAGATGGACATGCTTATTTTCTTGACTGTAGTAATAGTAATAATTTCACTATGTATATAAAAATATGTTGCATACCTTAAATATATACAATAAAAAGAGAATCCTTTGTACATAAGCTATTAAAAATGTCAAACAATTTATCACTTAGAAATTTGAACACAACCTAAATAACCACTATTTGGATTTTAATTGTGGTATAATTAATTTGATAGGATATCAATGTCTAGTCACATATATACACTTAACCTATTTTAAATAGAATAGATTTAATGTACAAAAGTGGTTACAGGGTGGCACAAAGGGCTGGAGGGAAGGCTGATGCAGCAAGGAGCCGAGTGTTATCACTCACAGACCAGGAGTTGTCACCAGTGGCGCCTCATATGCTCCTCAGTGCTGAGCTGATGGAGACCGCACGCCCAGGGCTGCTTGTGTGACTTTCCCATGCTGATATGCGGCAACTTAGATGCCCTGCATCCCCACAAATGCAGCTGAAACTGACTGTAAGCCCACAACTCCCTCAGGACCCCTGCTGCCTGCAGTTGCTGCTGCTGCCGCCACAGATCATCACCAGAAGCAGGAAATAAGACACAGTTTCCTTCTTTCTCCTGCTCTCCAGTGTTCCACCAGGGCCTGCCCTCTCATAGCCTTACAGGAAACCAGGTAGCACAGGAGTCAGGACAAGCTCTCTGCGGGCTGAAGCCCTAGAAGTCAGCGGAGACACCAGCCCTAAAGTGTGGGCCCAACAAACAGAAGACAGACACCATCTGGACAAACGTTTTCATGAAAAGACTTCCGTGACATGGTAACATGATCAACATCATTCTAGAACACACGCACAGAAAACGGTTCAGAAATACTTGTCTGCAAGATCCAAGAGGGTGGAGTTGCTTCCACCTAGTTACCTATTTTATTCCAACTGTCTGCTACATGGTGTACACTTCATAAATATTCATAGTATGAAGTCAAGACATGAATTTTAAAGTTTTGTTTCTATCTGAACTATTACATTATGGTTGATTTTTAAATTTTATTTGTACTAGACTGTGATTTTAGATTTTTTAGTCATATCAATATTTAAAATAAAAACAAACTTTAAAATTAAATGCATCACTAAAGTAACAGAGCTTGCAGGTGAATAACAGAAGAAAGAACATAACAAGCTAATGAAGAGTGATAGCAATGAAGATGTGAAAAAGACAACCTCAATTTTAGTATGGAGTTCATTACTGATCAGCGATACTCTCTTTGACACATCAACTGAACTCTGAGTTTCAAAGCCTATATTTGTGAAAGATTGGAACACAAATAGCAATATTTTATAAAAATTTCCTAAAGTTTAAAGGAGGAGGCACATACACATGAAAATATTGTGTAAAACACAAAAGGCCATATATAACTAACTCATATATCATAGGTAAAAATTCATTAGTAATGGCTAACTTTGAGATTATTGTTAATATTTGTTGAGATTTTCAGTTTAACAATAAAAGAAGATTAAATAACAACAACAAAACAGCTGGGCACAGTGGTGTGTGTCTGTAGTACCAGCTATTCAGGAGAGTGATGTGGAGGGGGTTCACTTGAGGCCAGGAGGTCGAGGCCTTTGTGCACTGTGATCTCACCTGTAAAAATCTACTGCACTCCAGCCTGGGCAACATAGTAAGATTCTGTCGCTTAAAAAAAAATGAGAAGAAAATCAGAAAAGGGCAACAGAGATATCTATTAGCTTCTTTAGCTCCTTTATTTGCATTCGTCTTCAAAACCCCAGAGAGGACTTATTAACAGAAAACTTTTATCTACACCCCTAATGGACACAGTGAAGCCAGGGATGATGTCACTTTTGTTTTTCTTTGCACACTTAAGCCAGCCACACACCATGAGCCCCTCCAAATGAGGGTCAAGACATCATCTGATGGTGAGTTACACCAGATAGGTAGACAGTATTGCAGGAACAAAAGATGGTCACGGTTCTTGACTTGTTCTGCTTTTGAAACATTTCTATTAGTTCTTGACTGTATTTCCTCATTTCCCTCTATCATCTATTTTTATGGAGAAAAGCCAATCTGTTTTATTTTTCCTTTGAGTCTCATTTTATATAATACTTATTTACTGCAACATATTAGTAAACGGGTTTTTCATTTCCAAAGTATTTATGGACAAAATCATATATATTCTTCCTCTGTTATTGAATGATACATTTGTTTTAGTGGGATGAAAATTTTGCAGAGGAAAAACAACTAATTTTTCTTTGAATGGAAATTAGGTCTTAGAGTTAGAAAACACTAGCAACAAATGTTTCAATCATATTTATGTTTCCCTGGTGAAACCAATAGTGAGTTATCTAAAACCCAAATTTTAGTCTACGGAAGCAGGACTGTGTCCCCAAGAGAACTGAGGTAAGTGACATGCTCTGGGTCCCGCACCTGCACCGATGTACTTACTCCATGGGGTTAGCTGTGTGATGTTAGATAGATACCCCAGAACTTGAACTTTTAAATCTGTAAATGGTGAAATTAGATTATATACCTCATAGGTTCTTGAGGAAAATTAAATGTGGTAAACTGGCATTAAGAACAATTCCTAGGATACTGTAAGCTTCACATAAATGCTCAATATTGCCCTACCACCACTATTAATTATTCCCTGGGTTAAACATGCATTGTGCTGTTTGGAAACTCAAGCAATGTGATCAAGAAAAATAAAAGAAAGAAAAAGTCCAGTTGTGCTGCATGCTGCAGTCACAGTTTTCCCTCACTGATCTGGTGTCCCAGGTCAGCTGTTCAGCGTGGCTTAATGACAGGGACTTCCATTTACAAAAGTGCAGCAGAGATTTGCCCAGCATCCACCTCCCATCCCGCACTGCCCTCTTGGTCTCCCTCCATTCACTTAGCAAACAGCTGCCCAGTCTCCGCATCTAATTATTATTCTCCAAAACTTGAAAATATTAATAAGTCTAATTAGAATTATTAAAAGAATTCAAAATGTATTTGAAACTTGGAAATTCTTCCTGAAATATGACTGTATGATAACCACTGCTAAAGTCTTCCCTGAAAAAGGACCCTATATTTTCTTCCTATTGATAAATACTAAAATTTAACAACATGTCAGAAATCGAAAAGTTGCAAAGTTTTAATCTTCTTAAGAGAAAATGTAGGAGTTATCAGTGATTCTCTTCAGAAAGGTTAAATGTATTTTGCTTCTATTAGCCTTGTTAATGTAGCTCATAGCTATTCTAATCTGAAGTTGTACTTTAAATCATGTTTATATGTTTTTTCCTGAATAGACTGACTGTGACCTCCTCAAGCTTAATCAAATATAATTTGTCTTTGATTCCTGCACTAGCTAACACAGAGTCAGGCTGTGAGTAGCAAGATAGAGGAAGGAATTTAATTGAAGTGAGAGACATCTTAGTGTTTTATTTTCTTTTCTGCCTCACAGTTTCCGTGAAAAAATTCACTGTAGCAGGCAATAAAGCAGATATTTGCAAAAACACCAAAAGCCTTACCTGGTAAATAGCAGGGAGTTTCTAAATCCCAGTTATGCCCCCCTGAGATTTAATGCGAATGACAGGAGCTTTAAGGAGTTAAGCTTGGAGAAGCATGCACTAGTCACAAAGAAGGTGGATTCTGCATAAATCTCTGCTCAACATGAAAATAAGAGACATACCTTACATTAATATATGCATTTCTATTTGTAAATATGCATATACAATGTATTCTTATATTTGTAAATCTGCACATATATAAAAATGCATATCTATAAATTTATATAAAATAAATGTAAACTGTATACATACAAGTTGTCTGGGACTAGAGAAATTATCAAATCCAAATTCTTACAAGTCTGACTAAATGATAAAATCAGCAAACTGAAGTAATGAAGCTCATATCATAAGATGATTATAGTAATACAGTCTGCAGAATAATTTGTGTAGATATTAACTCTTTGACAGTGTATGTATTTGTTCATTTGTAACTGGTAATATTCTAAGCACTTTCATTACTTTTCTGCATTTAATCTTCATCAACCCTGAGGTCAAACCTTTTCTTACCATCTATTTTTATGTGCAGTAAACAGAGGAATAGCAGGTAGAGGGGAAGCTGGGTCCACCCTGCAGTCCAGCCACGGTCCCTGGGCTCCTCACCCCATGCGACTCTGGTTTCTGAGGAGTCTGGTGTGTAGGAGGACCCTGGCTTGCTCATGGGGATGTGTGGGGTTTTGCTCCACGAAACCACAGAGCCTCACAGCATTGTCCAATACTGTGGGTAGAAGGGTGCAAATGTTTGGTATGGATTTTCCACAAGTGATATTTTAGTCATGTTCTAAATCATTCCTATATGGAATACACTTTTGGGAGTTTTTAAGATTCCAGATGGATCCTTAAACCAGAGAATGTAATTCACTTTAGACTTCTCTAAACAACTCTAAAAACAGGGGGACAAAATTCTCCTTTGTTTTCAATAATTCACTATTCATGTCTGCATAAGGCAGTGACACTGCCAGTTTCCAGGACTTGTTTATAACAGACACTCTCATCGGGAAATCTCATGACTCAGAACTGTGGCAACTTCACTACAAATCACCCTTTTGATCCACAGTTGTGAATTCTTAGTTCCTGGTAAATTTTTTGAATTGCAGATAATTTATAACACCCAAATCTACAGGCCCATGGGCCTTTCTTTGGTTAGAACACACACACACACACACAATTTGTTTCAGAGGCTCAAATTACTTTAACCCCAAGCTTTCCTTTGTGGCCTAGGTGAAACCTCATGGACAACATCACCTGGATGGCCAGCCACACTGGATGGTCGGATTTCATCCTGATGGGACTCTTCAGACAATCCAAACATCCAATGGCCAATATCACCTGGATGGCCAACCACACTGGATGGTCGGATTTCATCCTGTTGGGACTCTTCAGACAATCCAAACATCCAGCACTACTTTGTGTGGTCATTTTTGTGGTTTTCCTGATGGCGTTGTCTGGAAATGCTGTCCTGATCCTTCTGATACACTGTGACGCCCACCTCCACACCCCCATGTACTTTTTCATCAGTCAATTGTCTCTCATGGACATGGCGTACATTTCTGTCACTGTGCCCAAGATGCTCCTGGACCAGGTCATGGGTGTGAATAAGATCTCAGCCCCTGAGTGTGGGATGCAGATGTTCTTCTACGTGACACTAGCAGGTTCAGAATTTTTCCTTCTAGCCACCATGGCCTATGACCGCTACGTGGCCATCTGCCATCCTCTCCGTTACCCTGTCCTCATGAACCATAGGGTGTGTCTCTTCCTGTCATCAGGCTGCTGGTTCCTGGGCTCAGTGGATGGCTTCACATTCACTCCCATCACCATGACCTTCCCCTTCCGTGGATCCCGGGAGATTCATCATTTCTTCTGTGAAGTTCCTGCTGTATTGAATCTCTCCTGCTCAGACACCTCACTCTATGAGATTTTCATGTACTTGTGCTGTGTCCTCATGCTCCTCATCCCTGTGGTGATCATTTCAAGCTCCTATTTACTCATCCTCCTCACCATCCACGGGATGAACTCAGCAGAGGGCCGGAAAAAGGCCTTTGCCACCTGCTCCTCCCACCTGACTGTGGTCATCCTCTTCTATGGGGCTGCCATCTACACCTACATGCTCCCCAGCTCCTACCACACCCCTGAGAAGGACATGATGGTATCTGTCTTCTATACCATCCTCACTCCAGTGGTGAACCCTTTAATCTATAGTCTTAGGAATAAGGATGTCATGGGGGCTCTGAAGAAAATGTTAACAGTGGAACCTGCCTTTCAAAAAGCTATGGAGTAGACCATTTTGAGAGTAATTTACTTTTCCTTCTCTCTGCACTTCACATATGAGAATGTTATACCAGTGTTATTTCCCAGACTCCAAGACTGCCATGGTGTTTGATCTCATTTTCACACCTCTTTTAGAAATCGCTTTCCTGTACTAGAAACTTTTCAATTTACACTCCGTCTCACTTCAAAATGCATTATTCAGTCATATTATATTGATGTTACAGTTACTGAAGTTCATAACTACTTTCTAATTCTATAGGATATTTTCATATTCTGGGAATACATAATGATACTACTTAGAGGATAAAGGTTATAAGGCATAAAATTGAGAGAGAGGGAGAAATGAGGAAGAAAAAGGGTTCATATAGATGTTCTTTGTACTACTTTTATTTATGCTAATTTTCTGTAAAATTGAAATTAATTTTAAATAAATAATTAAAATATGTCCCCTCCCTCCCACCTTTTTTGAGCAGTACACATGATATAATATCTTAGAAAACTTGCTGATTGCAATGTAGTTATTCACTGCTGAGACAATCCAGCCATTTGTCCACCCTTATTGGAGGCTGTCTTGGCCCACATGGTTGGTTCCTGAAAGATTAAGGTCTGTTATTGAGGTTAACAGTCTTCATCAAGTGCTGGGTTTTGAATCCCGAATTCCGTTAAGAGACTGTGGAAAACATATTAGCCTGGGGTGAAAAGAAGCTTTAGAGAAGATTTCCAGCACAAAGTGACATCTGAGCTGAGTTTTGAAGTATGTAATTTATTAGACAAATAAGAAGAGGTAGAGTATCAAATATCCAATTGTTCATTTATCCAGTAAATATTTGTTATGCTATATTAAATCTAAAATATTCACTAAAGAAAATTCAAAGGTGAATACTACATACTGCTTTCCCCAAGAAATTTGAACTAGTAATTCTGTGTGCAAATAGGTGCTATAAAGTGTATGAAATGCTTTGATGCACATGTGGAAAGGGTATAGCTCATTCTGGCACCTCGCTTCTTCCTGTGCTGTGCACATTCAATCAAGCAGAAGATGCTGAGTGCAGCCCCAGGAGCTCAGTGTTAAAGGTGCCTAGCTGTTCCCCTCAGATAACTACACATGGCTGGGGAAGGGGGAGGGACTTTGTCAGGGATGTGATTATGCCTGGGAAAAGGCACAGCAAGAGCAAAGGTCAGACAATTGACCAAGCAGGAGTGGCAAATATTCTAATCGTGCCTTCTTTCCTGTTTTATTTTGTGGAATAATTCCTTGCTTTCTGTGACCCAGATGTTTACAAACAGTAGAAAATGATCAGTCTTGCATTTCAGAAATATTACTTTGGTGACAATAGATTGGAGAAGTGCAAACCTGGTGGCAGGCAGACCAGGTGAGTGAGGATGGTGAAATGCACGAACTCAGTGGAACGATGTGTACCTTACCACCAGGAGGGACTTAGGGAGAGGAAATGTTTGGGGTATGCAGGGATGTGAGACTTTGTCAAACCAATTGGATTATAATTACAGACCTAGTTGCAGGTGTATCATTTTCCAATTGCCTGTGTCCAACTTGTGAAAAATCAAGTGGCTTCAGATTTACAGATTCTGCTTTCCTCTTGACAATATGATCCTAAACATGTAAAACTTAAAATCTCCACAAAAGCTCTGTTAGAACAATTGAAAGCCTTCACATAAAGTTGCAGAAATCAAAATCAACATACATCAATAATTTTTCTATGCACTAACATCAAACTACCTGAAAAAGAAATTTAAAAACAATTTTATTTATAATAGTGTCAAATCAAACAAACAAAAACTTTGGGATAAATTTAACCAAAAGGGTTAAATATCTACACTGAAAAACATAAAACATTGATGTAGGAAATTAAAGAAGACACCAATAAATGAGAACTATCCCATATTCATGGATTGGAAGAATTAATATGTTAAATTTTTCATATTACCCAAAGGGGTCTATACATTTAATGACATTCTTGTCACATTTCAATGTCATTTTTCACAGAACTGGAGAAAAAAATGATTTATATGAACAGTAAGAACAAAAGGGGAGCATCACACTACTTTTTTTCTAAATATATTACAAAGCTATGACACTCAAAACAGCATGGTACACGCATTACAAAAGGCACATTGACCAGTGGAACAGGATTTAGAGCCGAGAAATAAACCCACACATTTATAGTCAATTGATTTTTGACAAATGTGCCAAAAACACACCTGAGGAAAGGACTGTTCCTTCAACAAATGATACTGGAAAAATTAGATATCCACATGCAAAAGAACAAAATTGAACCCTTTTCTCACACCATATACAAAAATCAATTCAAAATGAATTAAACTTGGATATAAGACCCGAAACTGTAAAGCTACTAGAAGAAAATATAGGGAAAAGCTCTGTGACATTGGTTTGGGCAATGTTTTTCTGGATATAAACTCAAACTCCCATGGAACAAAAGCACAAATAAACAAATCAGATTATGCAAAACTAAAAAGGTTCTGCACAGTAAAGGAAACAATCAATAGAGTGAAGGGACAACCCACAGAATTAGATAAAGTATTTGTAAACTATATTATCTGATAAGGGATTAATAGAAAAAATATATCAGGAACTCAGAAACCTCAATAGTAAGAAAATAAATAACACAATTTAAAAATGGGCATAAGACCTGAATAGACATTTCTGGAAAGAAGACAGACAGATGGCCAACAGGTATATGAAAAATAATGCTTATTATCACTAGTCATCAGGGAAACACAAAACAAAACCACAATGAGATATCACTTCACTCTTGTTAGAATGGCTATTATCAAAAAGACAAAAGATAACAAGTGTTGGTGAGGACATGGAGACAACTTCCCTCCCTCCCACCTCCAACTTTGAGGGTACAGTGGGCTAAACTGAAGAATGCATGAGCTGGGGGAGGCAGAGGATGCTGGGTCCTGTCTCCCCACTCTCGGGGCCGACTCCTTGACCTGATACAGGCAGAACAGGTGAGGCCCCGAGGCTTTACCTTGACTGAGAGCTCTAGCTGTGAGTAGGATCTAGGCATGTTAGTAACGACTGATTCTGGACTGAATGTGCTGGGAGGTCATTTGAAAGTCTAGGAAGGTTGAAAAAACCTCATAGCTTGAACAGGCATTTGAATGAAACCTCAAAGTTCTTTTGTGCTTGTAACTTGAAGACATTTGCTCTTTGGAAATAGCATACACATATACAGACCATCTATATGGTATACACAGATGACAAAGGTTTGTGCTCTCCATAGTTTCTTTTCTTCTTTATTTGATGGATTTATTCTTTCTTGCACACCTGTAATTATATTTCTCTTGACACCTTGCTGTATATCAACTTCTTGAGTTACACTCCTTGTCAATAGTTGAAAAGTTTCTGTCTTTCAGCTTCCAACAAATTTGCTGACGAGTCAGTTGCTGCTCAGATTTTTTAAAAATCAATTTTATATAAGTAGTTCTTTCTATCTGGTGACTGCAAAATGTTAACTTGCATTTACTCTGAAAATAATTCATGTACATATTTTAACTTACTGTTACAATTGCTAACTGTTGTTAATGTATAATTTCTATAAATGTATATCTATTGCGTTGAATATCAGAGTATTAATTTAAAAGTGGTACTTTTTACATATATAACTAGGAGTGGAATAGCAGGGTAATATAATAATTCTATACTTTGTGTTTTGAAAAGCTGTCAAACTGTTTTCAACTATGGCTGAAACATTTTGCATTTCCACCAGCAATGCATGAGTCTTAATTTCTCCATATTCTCACCAACACTTATTACTGCTTAATGAGTAAGGGGTTTTACAGCTTGGGATCGTGGAAATGTTTTGGAACTAGAGGTTGTTGTTGCCCAATATTGTGAATGTATAAGATACCACTGAATTGTTCACTTTAAAATGGTTAATTACATTGCATGAAGTTCACTTGAATAAATTATTTTTAAGTGGCGCTGTTTGTTTGGAAGACTATGAGAGAAATTTATTTTCACATAGGGTTATCCCATGGAACTAGGCAAAATCTTGAGAAATAGTATTTCCAAATAATTCACAATAATTTTTCAACTTATTCCAAGAAGACAACTTCTCTAAAAACATGTAACATAATGGGCCTGGTCAGTTCTTGGTTGATGCTTTGACTCTTTCAGTGTTTCTTATTTTAAAACATGATTTTAAGTTTCAGTTTTGGCTGGGAGAAAATACCCTGTCTAAAGCTGTATTTCAGCCTCTTGCTTTCAGATTTACCAAATTGTCTTTGTTTGACTTAAAAAAAATTTTTAGTTGTCTGTTTCCAACATATTTGCATTGTTGATTTAAAAAAACTTTGAAAAGCATGTGTGTTCATTTGAGAATAATTTTAGCTCATTTTTGATAGGGGAAGTGTATAATTTATTTTATTAGTTCTAAGTCCTCCTTATTTCTAAATTTTATTTTTATGAAATAACATTTTAAATGTGCTTCAAAATATTTCCACAGGGCAGTGTGTGTGTGTGTGTGTGTGTGTGTGTGTGTGTGTGTGTGTGAAAAATAATCATACATTTTATTTAGAGTCGGTTTCCTTTCACAGAAAATTTTCATTAGCTCTTATGCATGAAAATAAATAGTCAAATGATTTACAGTTTTAAAATGTGACCTGTAAATTCAAAAATGTTTAAAAATCATTCAGAGTTCCTATTATAATAGATTTGTATGATAATTTTAAAAAAAATTTTTTTTTGAGAGTTTCACTCTTGTTGCCCAGGCTGGAATGCAATGGTACAATCTCGGCTCACTGCAACCTCCACCTCCCGGGTTCAAGCGATTCTCCTGCCTCACCCCCTCACTAGCTGGGATTACAGGTGCCTGCCACAATGCCTGGCTAATTTTTTGTATTTTTAGTAGAGATTGGGTTTCACCATTTTGGCCAGGCTGGTCTCAAACTCCTGACCTCAGGTGATCCGCCCACTTTGGCCTTCCAAAGTGTTGGGATGACAGGCATGAGCCACCATGCCTGGCCTGTTTGATAATTTTAAAAAATGTTGTTACCATCCACATTTTACTCAATTTTTATAAAACTTATCTTTTATTTTGTTTTTCAGAATAATTTGTTCAATTTAGGCTTGTTTCAAAACATATTTATTTAATTTTGCAATTATATTTCGGTAAAGGAAGGAAAAAGAACAATGAGCATTCCAGTGTGACAGGAGACATGTAACTGCAGTAAACAAACAGCTCCATGATGGTGACAGAGCTACCGGGTGTAGAAGGTACACATTCTAATAGCTATGGTTATTCCCATTCCACAGATACTGATTAACGAGTTTCACAAAAGATATGTTGAGAATGAATTACTTCAGTGGTAGAGTAAGCAGAGATGAATTACAAAAGCTTTTAGTAAATACAGTCAGCCCTCTTTATCCGAGTTCTGCATGTGTGGATTCAATCAACTGCAGATAAAAAATATTCAGAAAAAAATGTTCTGAAGTTCCAAAAAGCAAAACTTGCCATGTTCTGAGCACTATGTTGAATCAATTCCAATGAAGTGATATATAGACCTTGCATGAGGTATAATAAGTAATCTAAAGATGATTTAAAGTATGTGAGAGGATGTGCATAGCTTACATGCACATACCGCAGCATTTTATATAAGGCACTTAAGCATCCTCAGGTTTTGGTACCTACAAGGTGTCCTGGAACCAAACCCCACAATGAATACCAAGAGACAAATGTGTTTTTAAAACAAATGAGAATTGGTCTTGCAGGGTCCTCACCAAGTGAAAGATCACTCCCTGCCTTATGGAGGTGGGAGGGAAATAGGAAAAATTGTATTAAGTAAATGTCTACCATGAAGTCATAAATACGATTTGTTCAAAATACTTAACAGTGAAATTTATATTTTGAAAACATCATTTAATATTGAAAAGAAAAATTTAGGGAACGGCTAGTGGAATAAAAATTACATAGAAGAATCAGGACAATGAAGTAAACTTACATAGGGGAAAAGGGAAATCAAAATCATTTGGGGCCAGGCATGGTGGATCACACCTGTAATCCCAACACTCTGGGAGGCGGAGGTGGAAGTATTGCTTAAGTCCAGGAGTTCAAGACTAGCCTGGGCAACATACTGAGACCCCATCTCTACAAAAAATAAAACAATTATCCTGGCATGGTAGCAGGTATCTATAGTCCAAGCTACTTGTGAGGCTGATATGGGAGGATCAGTTGAGCCCAGAAGGTTGAGGGTGTAGTGAGCCATGAATCATACCACCACATTTCAGCCTGGGCAACAGAGTGAGACTCTGTCTCAAAATAAAAATAAAAAAAATCATTTGTAAAACATAAGTGAAATGAATTTAAATACAAGTTTCAAATCAGTATACATGAACGCTAATACAATTTTCTTGAACTAGAGAGACTGTACAAGGAAACTGTGCATCTGGACATTGCTGTAATTTTTTTTTAACAGGGTCTTGCTCTGTCCCCTAGGCTGGAGACAACCTCCACATCCTGGCTTCAAGGGATTCTCATCCATCAGTTTTCAGACTAGCTGGGATTACAGGCGTGGGCCACCACACCCAGCTAATTTCTTGTATTTTTAGTAGAGATGGAGTTTTCCTATGTTGGCCAGGCTTGTCTTGAACTCCAGGTCTGAAGTGATCCACCCATCTCGGCCTCCCAAAGTGTTAGGATTACAGGCATGAGCCACGGCATCTGGCCTATTGCTGTAATTATTGATCATAACTGTGGTCATTAATGCATATATTTTTGTTAAGTTGTTTTCTTGGTTTAATTCAATATGGCTTAGGGATATGGACTGCATATTTCAAACTTTGTAGAATTCTCTTGAGTTTTGTTATGTGGCTGAGAACATTTTATATTGTACAGGAAATTCATAACTTTTGGGCAATGATTTTATCATTCCTTGAAGACTTCTGCCCTGCTCCTCTTAAAGGGCACATTGCCTGCTCCATCCACTCCTGAGTGTTCTTTTCACCTGGAGTGACCTGATCTGCCTGCTCTAGGCTTTAGAAGGGCAGAGGTAATGTGGGTCATTTCTCCACTTCTACCCCAGGCTCTTGAGTGCATCTCAATGTCAAGGTTTATTAAACAGAACAAGAAACCGTTCTTCCTTTCCCGAAATAAATTAATTCTCCTTTTAGATCTCACAAATAAGTGAGAACATGCAATGTGTGTCTTTCTGTGCCTGGCTTACTTCACTTAACATAGTGACCTCCAGTTCCATCCATGTTGTTGCAAATTAAAAGATCTCATTATTTTTTATAGCTGAATAGTACTCCATTGTGTATAAGTACCACATTTTCTTTATCCATTTATCTGTTGATGGATACTTAGGTTGCTTCAAAATCTCGACTATTGTGAAAAGTGCCACAACAAACATACGAGTGCAGATATCTCTTTGATCTCTTTTCCTTTATTTTGGGTATATCCCCGGGGGATCGATGGATCATATGATGGCTCTGTTTTTAGTTTCTTGAGGAACCTCCAAACCATTCTTCATAGTGGTTATACTAATTTACATTCTCACCAAGAGTGTACAATGGTTTTCTTTTCTCCACATCCTTGCCAGCATTTGTTGTTGCCTTTTGGATGTAAGCCATTTTAACTGGGGTGAGATTATATCTCATTATAGTTTTGATTTGCATTTCTTTTATAATCAATGATGTTGAGCACCCTTTTCTATGCGTGTTTGCAATTCGTATGTCTTCTTTGGAGAAATGTGCATTCAGATCTTTTGCCCATTTTATAATTACATTACTAGATTTCTAGACAGTTGTTTGAGCTCCTTATATACTCTGGTTATTAATCCCTTGTCAGATGGGTAGTTTGCAAATATTTTCTCCCATTCTGTGGATTGTCTATTCATTTCATTGATTGATAAGTTTCCTTTGCTGTGCAGAAGCTTTTTAACTTGATGGGATCCCATTTGTCCATTTTTGCTCTGTTGTCTGTGCTTGTAGGGTATTACTTAAGAAATCTTTGCCCAGACCAATGTCCTGGAGACTTTTCCCAATGTTTTCTTGTAGTACTTTCATAATTTGAGGTATTAGATTTAACTCTTTAATCCATTTTGATTTGATTTTTGTATATGGCAAGAGATAGGGGTGTAGTTTCATTCTTCTGCATGTGAATATCCAGTTTTCCCAGCACATTTATAGAAGAGACTGTCTTTTCCCCAATGTATGTACTTGGCATCTTTGATTGCAAATGAGTTAACTGTAGGTGTGTGGATTTCCTTTTTGGGTCTTTATGCTGTTCCATTGGTCTGTGTGTCTGTTTTTGTGCCAGTATCCTGCTATTTTGTTTATATAGCTCTGTAGTATAATTTGAAGTCAATTAATGTGATTCCTCTAGTTGTGGTTTTTGCTAAAGATAGTTTTGTCTATTCAGGGTCTTTTATGGGTTGCTATAAATTTTAGGATTGTTTTTTCCATTTCTGTAAAAAATGTCATTGGTATATTGATAGGGACTGCATTGAATCTGTATACTGCTTTAGATAGTATGGACATTTTAAGAATATTTATTTTTCCCATTCATGAACATGGAATATCTTTCCATTTTTTTGTTTCCTCTTCAATTTGTTTGATCAGTGTTTTATAGTTTTTATTGTAGAGATCTTTCACTTCTGAGGTTAAGTTAATACCTGGGTATTTAATGTTATTCATGGCTATGATAAATGAGATTACATTTTTTCATATTGTTCACTGTTGGCAGATAGAAATGCTTCTGACTTTTAAATGTTAATTTTGTATCCTGCAACTTTACTGAATTTGTTCATCAGTTCCAAGAGGTTTTGGTAACGTCTTTAGGTTTTTCCAAATATAAGGTGATATCATCCACAAACAAGAATAATTTTACTTTTTCCATTCCAATTTGGATGCCCTTTATTTCATTCTCTTGTCTAATTGCTCCAGCTAAGACTTCCAGTGCTATATTGAATAATAGTAGAGAAAGTGGACATCTTTGTCATAATCTAGACCTTAGAGGAAAGGGTTTTAGTTTTTCCCTATTCAGTATACTAGCTGTGTGTCTGTCATATATAGCTTTTATTATGTTGAGTTATGCTCCTTCTATCTTCAGTTTTTTAATGGTTTTTATCATGAAGGGATGTTGCATTTTATCAAGTGCTTTTTTTTAACATCAATTTAAATGATCATATGGCTTTTATCCTTCATCTGTTAATATGATTCATCACATTGATAAATTTGCCTATGTTGAACCATCCTTGCATCTCAGGGATAAATCCCACTTGGTCATGATGAGTGATCTTTCTAGTGTATTGCATGCCAATTGTATTCTCCAGCTCTAGAATTTCTGCTTGATTCTTTTTAATGTTTTCAATCTCTTTGTTAAATTTATCTGATAGACTTCTGAATGCCCTCTCTGTGTTAGCTTGGATTTCCCTGAGTTTCCTCAAAACAGCTACTTTGAATTCCCTGTCTGAAAGGTCACATATCTCTGTTTCTCCAGGATTGTTCCCTGTTGGCTATTTAGTTTATTTGGTAAGGTCATGTTTTTTTGAATGGTGTTGATGATAGTAGATGTTTAGTGTCTGGGCATTGAAGAGTTACGTATTTATTGTAGTCTTCACTATCTGGGCTTTTTGTACACATCCTACTTGGGAAGGCATTCAAGATATTCAAAAGTACATGTGTGTTGTGATCTAAGCTGTGTCTACCTTAGGGGGCACACTAAGCCCAGTAATTCTGTAGTTCTTGAGACTCATTGAGGTACCGCCTTGATATTCTTGAACAAGATCTGGATGAATTCTACAGATTACCAGACAAAGATTCTTGTTCTCTTCCCTTACTTTCTCCCAAACAAATGAAATCTTTGTCTGTGTTCTGAGCCACTTGGAGATAAGAGTGGAGTTATACAAGCACCACCGTGGCAACCACCACTAAAAGTGCCCTGGTTCAGGCCTGCAGCTAGCACAACACTGAATCTCAGCCACGGCCTGCTGTAACCACTTCCTGACTACCACTCATGTTTGCTCAGGGCACTGCAGCTCTAAAATCAGCAGGTGACAAAGCCAGCCAGGCCTGTATCTTTCTCTTCGGGGTATCAAGGTCCCGTAGGCCCCAGGAAGGTCCAGAGGTGACATCTGGGAGCCAGGGACAAAAGTAAAAAACCTTAGAAATCTACCCGATATTCTGTTGTATTGCAGCTGAGCTGGCACTCAAACCACAAGATACTGTCTTTCCCACTCTCCCCTTCCCTTTCAAAAGCAGAGGAGCCTCACCCTATGGCCACGGCCAGCACATGCCCATGGGAAGTGTTGCCAGTCTACTGCTGATGTTCCCTCAAGGCCCAAGCGCTCTTCAGTCAGCTTGTGGGGAAGGCTCCTTGGCTTGGGACTCATCCTTCAGGACAGTGGGCTCCCCTCTGGCCCAGGGAAGGACCAGAAATGCTGCCCAAGAGCCAAGTCCGAGAATTGAGGAAACCAAGAGCCCACTTGGTGCTCTACCCTCCTAAGGCCTTGCTAATACCTAAAGTCCAAGACGAAGTCCCGTTTACTCTTTCCTCCACTTTTTTTTTTTAAAGCAGAAGGAGTTTCACCCCATAGCCACCACATGTGGGAATGTGCTGAGTCTCATCTGTGAGCCAGTAATCTCAGAGGCTCACCTAAGGTCCTCAACGTGGTACCTGGGTATCACTGCTGGTTATTCAGGGCTCAAGGGCCCTTCAGTTAGCAGGTGATGAATGCTTCCAGGATTGGGTTCTTCCCTTCATAATAACAGGTTCCCTTTTGGCCCAAGGAGTGTCTAGAAATGTCCACAATCTGGGGCCTGGAGCTAGGGGGTGGAGCAATGATTAGATCAATGATGAAATTCTCAAAGCTTTGGCACAGTGGTACTGATTAGTTGTAGCGATTTCTGATGACTCTGATTGGTGCCCTCTCCTGCTGTGGCTGAGCTGATTCCAAGATGCAAGAAAAAGTCCTCACTCTTTCTTATCTTCTCAAGTGGAGGGAAGGGGTTTTTTAGGAGCCACAAACTGTGCAGCCTGGGGCTAGGGGAGGGGTTCCAGCACCCCCTTACTTGCTCTGGCTGGTGTCTCAGTAGGTTGTGTCCCCCCATAGTCCACAGGCTCTGGGCCAGGTCAGCACTTGGACTCATTTAGGAGTTGTGGTCATTGTGGCCTGGTTTCTTTTTCTCATGTTTCTTTTAAGGCCCCAGAGCACTTTAGTCCATGGTGGAAAGGCTTGCAGGAACTCAAGTTCAGACGGCTGGGATTGGTAATTGCCCTCGGGCTAGTCTAAATGCTCCCTCCATGGATGGGCATCAGCTGAGTTTGGTCCAGCTTTGTTTTCTGCTCCAGCAGAGCAGCGCTGAGTTCAATGACTCACGATTGCTGTGCTCTCCCTCTCCCCAGAGCACAGAATTGCTCTCTGCACCATGCTGATGCTGCTGGGGAATGAGGCAAGGGTGCATTTGCAATTCACAATTGTTTTTCTATCTCTTCAGTGCTTCTTTCAGCAATATAAAGTTAAGGCCAGGTACAGTGAGTGCTCACCTGATTTTTGTTTGTATAAAGGTGCTTTTTGTGTGTAGGCAGTTATTAAATTGGTGTCCTTGCAGTGGGAACAATTGGGGGAGCCTTCTATTCTGCCGTCTTGTTCCTCCTCCTTCCAAATTTTGATTCCTTTAAAATAACATAACTGAGCTTATTATGCCTGTCATGATTCTCTTTTGTACATATAAAGTGTTTCCAGTTATGGCTACCTAATATTGTCATTGTCTATGTTTGCATTTTTTACTTTACAACTCATATCCTCTCTTTCTCTATATACACACACACATAAATATATATTTATGTACATATAAATATTTGTTACATTTATATATATGTGTGTATGTGCTAAAACTAAGATGTAGGCATTTTCACATGAGTAGTATCCCTTAAAAAAAACTAATAGAAGTTGCCATGTATATGAATAAGGAAATCTGAGGTGGATGGTGGAAGGCGCAGAGAGAGGCAATCTGAAATGGAAAAGAGTCAAGAATCCATTAAACCTTTAAGTCACATTGTTTCCTTTTCTTGGAACTAACATTGACACAAACTATTTTACATGCTGTTTCGTTTTCTTTAGGTTTTACGATTAAACACATTTAAAGCCCAGTTGATATCTCTACAGTTAAAAATTGAATGTGTATGTTATGATGTGTCACAAGATAAGTAGCAAAATATAACTAACAAAACTTAGCAGGCAAAAAAATAGAATGTTGGAAAACAGCACATATGCACGTGTTAATTTCATCTTTTAAACCAGGCATAGATTTATCATTTAAAGTTGATACATCGGTAATACAATATAATTTACATTCATATATATTACTATGAGAAGACTAAACAAAAATGATTCATAACCGTACACCTTATGCATCAAGAGAATGCAACCAGGCCGGTCACAGTGGCTCACGCCTATAATGCCAGCAGTTTCGGGGGCCGAGGCAGGCAGGTCGCCTGAGCTCAGGAGAATGAGAGCCACCCATCGAGTATAAAGTGATTTTCATCAACTTCATCTCTTATCATGTGTTCAAAAGGGTTTTGTAGCAATAGTTTCCATAAGTTGGATTTTTACACTAACCTGTTCATCAAGAGCCTGCCTGATATATTTTCTTAAAAGATTGTTTGGTACCTTTACTGAATTGGCAATTAAAAGTTTTTCTTAGTGACATTTAGTAAATGAGTGATGTTTATTGGGAAGCTGCTTAATGCAAGAGAAAAATGAAAAGATTAGATCATGACTATTGTTAAAGTGAGAAATTAAATGACCACATAAAAAACTTCTCTTCTCTTCCTTGGGTATTTTTCCAATATTACTCATTTGCCCTCTAGGGAAACAAACAACAGAGTTTTGTGATGAAACATGCATTAAACAGCTGTTCTCAAGCTGTTAATTAAAAACAAAACAAACAAACAAACTGCAGAGGAGGCAGCCCAGGCATTTGTTGTGGAACACATTCTCTGCTTGCCACTTACATGTTTTGAGTACAGTTTTCAGTACCCATCAGAACCAGTTTAGTTGATATTCCTTCTGGATTATTAGAAGGAGTTTTCTCCATGAGAAATCTCAGGATGTTTATGATGTCACATACTAGATTACTTAAACTCTTCCCTCTTTGGTTCCTGGAGCTGTGTGCACAGTGCTGAAGTATGACATCCATGCCTTCAGTTAAGTGGTCATCTTCAAATACCTCTAACTGGCACTCTCTTTTTTTTTTTGAAGCTTTTGCCTTTTAACCTGGATCTCCTCTCATCTTTTCAAGGAAAGATACTAATATGAAGACAGAAAAAAAGAAGATCAAGAAGGTTCCCTTTTATCTCTTGTTTCTAAGGTCTCACCTCTTGTGAAGTTGTTTGTAAACAATTTTGTCTTTACCTAATATTCCTCTCTCTGGATATATTATACCTGTAAGTGATCCACTATCATCAACTTATATCTCCATACTCACAGTAAGAAAGCCATTTGGCTCTCTTAGATAATGTGTGTGAGTAGGAGAAAAACAAATAGGGAAGTTCACTCATTTAAGATAATTCAGATATTTTGTGCATGTTCAGTTCCCACAAATGTGATATCTTCTAAGTTACAGGGAATTAGGTAAGATGATCAAAATAATTAAATCGAATGGGATTGGAAGGTAGGAATTTTGGTGGAGGTATGAGTAATTGGCATGTTTACTTTAAGAAGATTTGATTGAAGGAAATGAATTAAGCATAATCCAGGAGTACAGAGGTAAATACTTTTAACTGAACTAACAAAGGAAAGACTAGACAAAAACTTAGTTGTCAAAACTAAAAACATAGGTTACTGTTGAACTGTTCCTGAATACTGTCAAACTCTTCATTTAGCACACTTAAAAATACATTTTTCAGGGAAAAGTGGAACTTTTACAATTAAATGGAGTCACCAGTTGGGCATCAATAACCATGGAAACACTTGAGGAAGGCTGTACATTTTCTGTTGTTTCATCTATAAAATACCCACTCATGTATGTATTTAATTTTTTTAATTTTTAAATTTTTTTCAACTTTTATTTTAGATTCAGGTGGTACATGTGCAGGTTTGTTAGCTGGTAATATTTTGTGACGGTGAGGTTTGGGGTGTAAATGATCCCATCATACAGGCACCTAGCATATACCCAATAGTTAGTTTTTGATCCTTGCCCCTCTATCTTCCTTCTAGCAGTCTCTATTTTCTGTTGTTGCCATCTTTATGTCTATGAGTATATAAATGTTGAGCTCTTATTCATAAGTGCCACTCACTTATTTAAAACAAACATCACTTTCTTGAAAAAATGTTTAAAAATGGTCAACTACCCTGATAGCATTTTGATAGATTCAGTCACTCTTTTGTGAACTTATTTTATTGATTGCTTTTTGTGACCCATTTTGGACACACTAAGAGACAGTATCTGAAAGACAGGAACATTCTTGCTATCGTGTGATGGTTGGTTGGTCAGATGTTGTCAGTCTGGCTATGTTGAAAGCACGGGCATAACACTTCCTGTGAGGTTAGAAGGGACCAAGTGGCCTACATATTCCTATTGCCTTCTGGACTGCGTCATTAGCTTGCTTTCTTTTCCAAAGATCAGTTTTATTTGCATTTAAGTGGTCTTCAAAGTTAGCCACTTGTCACAATGCAATATCATAGAAGATATCAAAGCAAATCTTCTGTCATTTGTGCTCTCAAATTATTAGTATGAGTTTGAAATGGGAAAAGATAAAGTGTTCTAGGAGTAATCAATTGATGTATAGACCACCTAATACATACAAGGCTGTGCTAATGGCTGTTGATATAAGGACTATTTAGAGGATGACTCTACCCTCAAAGAGCTCATATTATATTTGAGGAGGCAGAAGCATGCAGCAAATAAAAACAACAAAGAGAGTTGTAGAAACAAGTTGAAGAGGTGTCATGAGGGCAAGGGCAGCATGGGGCTCGCCCCTGTCAGAGCGCGTCACAGAAAGACTCAAGATGTCTTCATTAAACTCTGGTAACCATCCGAGTGTGGTCCATCTTATTTGGAAAGGCATGAAATACAAAGTTCATAGTATGTGATGAGTAAAATAAATAATCAGATTCACGGATGCTCTGGTAAAGTGTATTCCTGATTCTTCAATCTCCATTCAGTTCAGCAAAATCTCCTGATTGCTCTACCTTGAGCTTCATTTCTGCCTTTGGGCGCATTTTTTTCCTATCCCAACCCAAAACTTTCCAGGCTGACTACACGTGATTATAATTTATCTATGCACATATATGTTTGTAAACAGGCAGTGCTATGTTTCCTACTTAAAAATATATTATGTATATCTTTACATGAAAAGACAACTAAGCTACACCATTATCAATGAGTATAATGTAAATTGAGCAATGTTTGATTTAGTCAACCCATTAATGTTGATCATTAAGATTGTTTCTAGTTTATTTTCACAATCAATGGCAATAATTTATTTAATGTCTTCATATATTATTCCCACTTCATACTATTTATTTCCTCAGAATAAACTGATGAAAATGGCTAAAAGATGGATTTTTTAAGTTTGCTAAATGCCAGACGCTTACAGAAAAAAATGGTTTCAATTTGTACTTACACTAGCAGTGTGTGATGTTCCCCGCTTCTTCACAATAAAAATCCTAATTTATTGTCATTACTTTAGCATTTTTTCAGAATACAAACAACATACCTTTTCATTAAAGAGACTCAAACATCATAAAAAAGTTTTCATAAAGAAATGTATTTATTTCTTGTACTTAAGTTTTTGAGCCACTTGATCTGGAGTGTGCGTTTTAAAGTCTTACTCTTTACCTCTAAGTTGCAATTTTGTTTTCTTCATATATATAAACTCTACCTTTCCCAGTTATCCGAATTCTCATCTTACTTGTGTGAAACATTTGCGCATATGTGGGTTTTTTTGTATTTTGGCGGGAGACAGCAGTGTTTATTTCCAGATACTCTTCCGTTTAGTTGTTGAGCCTTGTTTTTTCTATTCAGTTACTCATCCTTTACATTTCACACTGGTCCTACAGAGGTCAAAGTCAATTTTTAGCATTGTTTTTCCCCAGACAATTCATATGTGTTTGTCCTTTCAGATCAAATTTATAATCATTTTGACAAATTCCTCTAGAATAATTTTCTATTGCTTTTTAAATTAATACTGAATTATTTAGTTTTATAAATGTTCTCCAAAAGTTTAGCATATTACCAGTTATTTTACCATTTTTATTGTTATTATATAGAAATTTTTTTTGTGTCTGGGTGCGGTAGCTCATGTCTGTAATCCCAATACTTTGGGAGACCAAGACAGGAAGATTTCTTCAGGCCAGAAGTTCAAGACCAGCCTGGACAACATGGCAAGACCCTGTTTCTACAAAAAATACAAAAACATAAGCTGGATATGGTGGTCTGTGCCTATAGTCCCAGCTACGCAGGAGGCTGAGGTAGGACAATTGCTTGAGCCCAAAAGGTTGAGGCTACAATGAGCAGTGATCGTGCCACTGTGCTCCAGCCCGAGGAACAGAGCAAGTTCCTGTCTCAAAAAGGAAAAGAAAAAGAAAAAGAAATATTTTTGTTGATATGTTGTTGATATTATGAGTAACTACTTGTTCATATATGCTGGGGCATTTGACATTGTTATTAAAACCATAGGGGATTCCTGCAAGAAGTATAAGTGACCTGAGACCTGGGTCTACAGTAACCAGATGAAGAGAGAATTGTGCTCCAGGCAGAGAGAGCTCCTGAGTCAGGCTATTTTCTGGGAGAGAGGTGCCAGGAATTGACAGAGTGCTGCAGAGTAGAGAGCTGAGTATCCAGGTCACTTAGGGACATACAAACCACAATCAAAACTTGATCTTTAGCTCACAAACAACCAAGAATCTTTGAAGGGGGATAGAATGGGAAAAGAGGGAGTTTATATGAACAGGTTTGAAGATGTGTTGTTATTAATATACTTCTGAGTTCAATAATTAATATTCATTTGGGAAATATTTATATATGTGAACTTGGTTTATAATTATGAGAGTTTTCTGTCTTTTGAAGGCTATATATATTTATAAAATAAATGATTAATTAATTCCATTTTTTTGTGTACAAAGATTTTTAAATTTTCTGTCCTTAGAAGATTTTTATGGGATGTTTTCTGAACTAGGAATTTTGGGAAAGCAGAATTCCATTAAAACTTTTAAATTGTTCCAAATTTAGAGATCTTCTTTGGTATTTTCTTTTTTTTGATTTATTTTTATCATACTTTAAGTTCTAGGGTACATGTGCACAACGTGCAGGTTTATTACATATTTATACATGTGCCATGTTGGTGTGCTGCACCCGTTAACTCGTCATTTACATTGGGTATATCTCCTAATGCTGTCCCTCCCCCCACCTATATGTGTGTGTATGCATTATATCTACTTATAATTATATATGAATATTAAGAATTTTAACTGTATGTGTGTATGTATTATATCTACTTATAATTATATATGCATATTAAGAATTTTGACTATATTTGTGTGTATGCATTATATCTACTTATAACTATATATGCATATTATGTGTATGCATGCACTCATACAAAACTATACTTTAAAATCGTCTTCTTCATTAAAATTTCAAACTATATTAATATAATGTTAAAATAACTTCTCATACTATAAATATTTTATCACTCTTCTCATATCTGTAGTTGGATCATTTTTCTTACTTTTAATGATGTTTTGTGTCATCCTTTCTGCCCTCAAATATCATTAGCATGGCCAGAAATAGGTCTATTTTGTTTCAGTTTTAAAGAATCAACTTTAAATATTCAGTCTGCTTATTTTAAAATCCATTAATATCTATTTAAGTCTTTTATATGGTCTTTCTCTTATTTAAATGTATTTTGCAGATATTTTTCTAATGTATTGGGTTGAATCTTTATTAACATCACATATTTTTTCTATAAGAATTACATTATTAGAGGTTATAAAATTTTGTCTGGATACATCTTTAGCTATATCCTATAGGCTTCCATACATAATATATTTAATTTAATGAAAGTTTGAACTTCCTTTGGTCTAAGTAGTGTTTTAGGCATACGTTAAAGTATTTCAAATTCTCTGATTTAGATGTGAACCTATTATTATGATTTTAGAATTCTAATATATTTTAGTAAAAAAAAAAAAAGAGATTGTCCTATGGAAGCTAACTGAATATATTAAGCACATAATGCATTTCCATTTAAAATCCAAATTACAGAATTGTTCTCTTTGTTCCATTTATAATATCACCTCATATTGTAGTTTATATATACTATGTCATTCCTTTTTGCATTTTTTTAGTTTTCTTTTCCATTTTGTACATTTTGTTTTGTTTTCTTTGAAGAGTAAATCTACACTTTGAAAGCGGATGTTTACTCTGAATGATGTTGTAGCCATGATTAACCTAGTTGTTTCTATCTCATTTCATCATATGCTTCGCGTTAATTTCCTGTGCTGTTATGCCTTTTTTTCTTTCATTATTTTAAACCATTTTAATAGACACCCAAACACACATGTACACACATACAAACATTCTTTTAACTCATTTTAATACCAGTAACTGATTTGGTTAATCTTTTTCAAAATTGTTCTTATTCTTATAGTTGCCTCTGTGTTGGAGTCATAGGCTCCAGAAAAAAAAAATGTATTTTTTTTTCTGGCTCATTTACTTAGAAAAAATGTTAGATTCTTCATAATTGTATATGTTTTTATTTATAATCAGCCCTTTGCCCTGTATGTTCCAAGAAAGAGGGAATATTGTTAATGGTATCTTCTGCTCCTAGAAAAATGTCTAGTGAATACTGGATCACAATAAATACTTGAATGTATAAATACATAAATGAATGAAAGCTGCTTTCTGGTACTTCTTAATTTTACATTCTATTTAAATAGAATTTGTTTTGCATGTATAGTATTAGCATTCCATTTTCAGACCCTGTTTTCTGTATAGACAGAGATAGGTATGTCTGTGTCTACAGATTAGATGTCATAGATATATATGTATCTATCTATTTCTACATATATATGTCTTTGTTGATAAGAATCTTTTGAGTTCTATGCAATAAGGCAATCATATTTACATTATTTTTAAATATATATATATTTAACCTGAATTCAACGTTTACTGTTAGTAATATTACAGTTTCTTCCCTTTTCTTAATTTTGTTTCATCTACAAAAATATTCAGCTGTATCTTACTGTTTATCCCCCCTAATTTATCTCAGAATGTCTTCCTGTTTGAGCCACACATTACTCTCAACTAAAATGTATCTAATGATATCGATAATAAGTTTTACTGAACAGATAGCACATTCTAGATACTAGTCTAAGAAACTGATGTGTGTGAATGATGTAAACTTTGAAACTTGGGCCCTTTCTATTATTACAGAGCAAATGGGGGAAATGGATACAAAAGTAATTTCAGTATCCGTGGCCACACAATTTGGTGGTGGAGAAAGGGTCAAACCCAAGGAAATTCTGGCTCCAGAGCTCTCTCTTTTTACTGCAACATTGTATATCTTCAGTTTAGACATTTTTTCACTTTTATTTGGAATTTATCAGGAAGACACCTGTGGTCAGTGTGAATTTTAGCCTGTGTAGGTGACTGTGTTTTCCTTTTCTTGTGTTTTGTTTGCATGCAACTATGTTTTTATTAGATGCTGCCAGATGCTTTTACTTCAAATAACTTTCCCAGACACACACAGTGTATTTATTAATGAAATGAAACATCCATATACAGAGTCTTTTTGTTCCTTTCCCAAGTTTTCCTTTTCAATTTTTATTAATAATTCTCTCCTATTTGTGAAATCACTCTTTTTAAAACACTGATTATTTATATTTTGCTTTTGTAATTCCAATACTCCATGTCTACCTTTCTTTCTTTCTTTTTTTTTTTTTTTAGATGGAGACTTGCTTTGTTGCCCAGGCTGGAGTTCAATGGTGCAATCTCAGCTCACTGCAACCCCTGCCTCCCTGGTTCAAGCGATCCTCCCACCTCAGCCTCCAGAGTAGCTGGGACTACAGGCACCCGCCATCATGCCTGGCTAACTTTTGTAGAGACAGGGTTTCACCATGTTGGCCAGGCTGGTCTTGAACTCCTGACCTCAGGTGATCCACCCACTTTGGCCTCCCAAAATGCTGGGATTACAGGGGTGAGCCACCGTGCCCGGCCCATGTCTATCTTTCTTACCATTTAATATCTGCCTTTCTGCATCCTGGAGAGCTACTCAAGTTTTATCCTCCACAACCCTAACAAAATTTTATGTCTTCAGCGCTCTTCTTTGCAGCCTTTCTTGTAACGTCTCATCCTGGAACTGTTTTTAATTGTCATGGGTAAAGCACCGCACTTGCCTGAGTGTGTTCACCCTCTCCTGAAGTGTTTCCTAGTGTTATCATCATGGAGAAAGCACTGCACTAGCCTGAGTGTGCTCATCCTATCCTAATGTGTTTCCTAGTGTTATCATCATGGAGAAAGCACTGCACTAGCCTGAGTGTGCTCATCCTATCCTGGTGTGTTTCCTAGTGTTATCATCATGGAGAAAGCACTGCACTAGCCTGAGTGTGTTCATCCTATCCTGAAGTGTATCCTAGTGTTATCATCATGGAGAAAGCACTGCACTAGCCTGAGTGTGCTCATCCTATCCTGATGTGTTTCCTAATGTTATTGTCATGGGTAAAGCACTGCACTAGCCTGAGTGTGCTCATCCTATCCTGATGTGTTTCCTAGTGTTATCGTCATGGAGAAAGCACTGCACTAGCCTGAGTGTGCTCATCCTATCCTGAAGTGTTTCCTAGTGTTATCATCATGGAGAAAGCACTGCACTAGCCTGAGTGTGCTCATCCTATCCTGATGTGTTTCCTAGTGTTATCATCATGGAGAAAGCACTGCACTAGCCTGAGTGTGCTCATCCTCTCCTGAAGTGTTTCCTAATGTTATTGTCATGGGTAAAGCACTGCACTAGCCTGAGTGTGCTCATCCTATCCTGAAGTGTTTCCTAATGTTATTGTCATGGGTAAAGCACTGCACTAGCCTGAGTGTGCTCATCCTATCCTGATGTGTTTCCTAGTGTTATCGTCATGGAGAAAGCACTGCACTAGCCTGAGTGTGCTCATCCTATCCTGAAGTGTTTCCTAGTGTTATCATCATGGAGAAAGCACTGCACTAGCCTGAGTGTGCTCATCCTATCCTGATGTGTTTCCTAGTGTTATCATCATGGAGAAAGCACTGCACTAGCCTGAGTGTGCTCATCCTCTCCTGAAGTGTTTCCTAATGTTATTGTCATGGGTAAAGCACTGCACTAGCCTGAGTGTGCTCATCCTATCCTGAAGTGTTTCCTAGTGTTATCATCATGGAGAAAGCACTGCACTAGCCTGAGTGTGTTCATCCTATCCTGAAGTGTTTCCTAGTGTTATCATCATGGGTAAAGCACTGCACTAGCCTGAGTGTGCTCATCCTATCCTGATGTGTTTCCTAGTGTTATTGTCATGGGTAAAGCACTGCACTAGCCTGAGTGTGCTCATCCTATCCTGAAGTGTTTCCTAGTGTTATCATCATGGAGAAAGCACTGCACTAGCCTGAGTGTGCTCATCCTCTCCTGAAGTGTTTCCTAATGTTATTGTCATGGGTAAAGCACTGCACTAGCCTGAGTGTGCTCATCCTATCCTGATGTGTTTCCTAGTGTTATCATCATGGAGAAAGCACTGCACTAGCCTGAGTGTGCTCATCCTATCCTGGTGTGTTTCCTAGTGTTATCATCATGGAGAAAGCACTGCACTAGCCTGAGTGTGCTCATCCTCTCCTGAAGTGTTTCCTAATGTTATTGTCATGGGTAAAGCACTGCACTACCCTGAGTGTGCTCATCCTATCCTGATGTGTTTCCTAGTGTTATCATCATGGAGAAAGCACTGCACTAGCCTGAGTGTGCTCATCCTATCCTGAAGTGTTTCCTAGTGTTATCATCATGGAGAAAGCACTGCACTAGCCTGAGTGTGTTCATCCTCTCCTGAAGTGCTCCCTAATGTTATCGTCTGTTTCTGCTCCCATTGACATTGCGGGAAGCTCCTTCTGATTCATCAGGTCCTCACGAGGAGCTCGTTAGATGAGATGCTACCCATTAGATGGAGGATCTGCATTTTGGGTGGACAGTGGACAGAATAAATCTTCAGCCCGTTTTTCCCCTCACCACCTGATCCACTCAGCCTCTTCTAAACCGGTAAGCAAAACTGTGCAGTTATGTTTGAATTTTTGTTGAAAGAGAAGGAAAAACTTAGAAAGGAAAAGTTTCGATTTCTTGTTAGCTAGCATTTTTCCTTGTGTCTGTGTATTTCTCACTTTCCTAAATGAAGTCTCCTGTTCACTGTGCTGAGAACACTCCTTCAAGAACCTCCTTTGTTGGTCTACTTGCAAAACTCTACCCTTTTTCTCCATAATTTCTTGGCTAGGGGAGGGTAAGAATGGGGAAAGCAGAGAAGCAGACCCTGCTGCAGAGAAAATCTGGCACAGAGACACACAGCCAATCCTTTTTCTGAGTGGTTCACGCCATGAGAGACCTTGTACATGTGCTGGCCAAAACCGAAGAGGCTTTTCTCTACTGAGGAGTCGCTAGGGTTCATCTTTTTCTAGTACTCAAGATTTTTAATTTTCAGTATAGATAAAAAATTGAATCGTTTCTGTGGTTTCGTGAGCATGTACTGAGAAGTTTGAAACAGGCCACCCTGGAGAATATGTAGACACTTGCAAATTATTTTTTAGGCCCTGTTGTTCATGTAATGCTATTACCTAACATCTTGATAGTCACTGTTTAATCTGAGAGTGAACTTAGGAAATGACAGTCTTCTTCCTGGAATCAGTTTTCCCAGAAACTAGTCTTTTACGAGTCCATATCTTTTGCTAAAAGATTCCTCTAATGGCAATTATTTGCATGATCAGGAAGAATGTTCTGAGATTTTATCATTTTAAATAACTCACAAGACAATGCACAAGCCTGCAGCCCTGCCTAGTTAGTGTTCAACAGGTGACACATAATTTTAGAGTGTGTCCCCTAGTGCTCAACAGGTGACACGTGCTTTTTAGAGTGTGTCTCCTATTGTTTGTGCCTGTGGTATACACACAGTAGCTAAGAAATGCAATATTGCCTTCGGCAAGATATTGTGTGTCCTCATTATCAGCATTCTCTCACAAGCGCAACAGCTTATCATAGATTAGCATTTGAATTTACTCAGCTGTGGTCCTTTGCATATGTTACATGACGTTTGATCATGACAACATCCCGTAAGTTTCCTGTGATATCCTAATTATAGATCAGGAAACGGGCTCTAAGTTTTTAAGTAATGTGCATTAGGGCACATTGCAAATGATGAAGCCAGAACCCCAAACAAGCATTCTCAGTGCAAGTATTTCAGAATTGAGCAACCCCCTACTCCAAAACGGTGTTCTGGAAGCTGGCTGCCGGCTCTGTGCACTTACTGCTACATCATCTGCCTCTCTGTCTGGTGTAACACCTGAGTGCACACAGAAGGGTCCAAGAATTCGAAATTCAAGTTGGATTTCAAAGAGTGTTAAACCTGATGAGGAAACTTTTAAAAGATATTCTTATATTCATCGTGTATTCAAGATGTGAATGCACCACCCATAGCTATCTAAGATTGTGTATGGTTTCCTGCCTCTGGCCTACAAGATCTTTTATGCATTTCCTTCAGTCACCATCTCCAAGGCTTACGACTGACCAACCAAATCAGGAAGTTTTGAGTGAAATGAGGAGGACATTAGGACAGAAAGCACAACCTGGTCTATCCCAGTCTAAGCCTTCAAGACCCACAAAAATACAACACTAAGCAAAAACAAAAAATGACTCAAATGTACCAAAGAGATAAAAAGAAAAAAACAGAAAGATCATAATGAACATGTTAAAGTTAAACTGTTACATGTTACAAACTGCAACTCAATTCTACTGATAACACTTAGAAAATAATTCTGTTCTCTTTACCCCGGCCTGCATACCTTGAAGAACTGATCACTAATATCTCACTGTCTTCATCACTTGCAATTCTCTTCCTGAACTGACTTTTGTTTCCTGACTATCCCAAACTCCTTTTTGCTTTAGGGATGTCACATTTGCTATTTATTTTGTAGGAACACCCTAGCCCTAAATCTTCACATGAATTTTCTTTTATCTTTCATTGTCTGTGTTGAAGTTTTCCGCAAAGCCCTTATTTGCATTACCTGGAACCATGGTTCCCACTTTTGATTTACTGTGCTTATTTCATAACTAGAATGTAAGTCACATGATTCATATTCTTTTTATTTACTACAGTATCCCCAGAGCTTAGAACACTGCACAGTACTCTCTCCATAAATAAAGATTAAGTGTGCAAATGGATGAGAAATTGACAAATGGTGAGGGAACACATAAGAATGACCAATGATCAGGCAGATAATGTAATCATGTTTATTACAGTTCAACATAGTTTTCAGTTGTGTCTACAATTTATGGTTATTTCTGGATGAGACCAATAGGTTTTAAAATTATCACAGAAATTCCCAATTTGAGCCAATGGCCTATTGAATTATTTTATTGGGTTGTTTGAATTGATTGGATCAATAGTCTTTCAGTTGTATCCACATTTTAAGTAAATGGAGCCAACTCCAAATGAAGGATCCTCTCTAGGGCCCAGATTTTCTTCAATCATAATGAAACTCCCTTAAGCCAAGTATCAATTGCCAAACATTCATTCATCTTCATCCCATGGGGTCCTAATGTTGAAATTATTCTTCATCAAAAAGAAATAGCCAAGAAAAAGGAAGCTACAAATCTACCACACCAAAAAAAGTTTTATATTAGCTACATAAAAGATTTTAATCTAATAATGTTTACACAGACATGTTTAAGTGATTTATCTTTTGTCATTTTCATTGACCCTGCTTCTCTTCTTATGCCTCCATTTCAAACTCAGTACCATGAATGAAAACAATGAAACCTTGACCAGAGGCTTTACCCTCATGGGGCTCTTCACTCACAATAAATGCTCAGGATTCTTTTTCGGTGTCATTTGTGCCGTCTTCTTCATGGCCATGATAGCTAATGGGGTCATGATCTTCCTGATTAACATAGACCCTCATCTCCACACCCCCATGTACTTCCTCCTCAGCCACCTCTCCGTCATTGACACATTATACATCTCCACCATTGTGCCCAAGATGCTGGTAGATTATCTCATGGGCGAGGGGACCATCTCTTTCATCGCCTGCACTGCTCAGTGCTTTCTCTACATGGGCTTTATGGGGGCTGAATTCTTCCTGCTGGGGCTCATGGCCTATGACCGCTACGTGGCCATCTGCAACCCACTGCGCTATCCTGTCCTCATCAGCTGGCGGGTCTGCTGGATGATCCTGGCCAGCTCTTGGTTCGGTGGGGCTTTGGACAGTTTTCTCCTCACCCCCATTACCATGAGTCTCCCGTTCTGTGCCTCTCACCAAATCAATCACTTTTTCTGTGAGGCACCCACCATGCTGAGGCTGGCCTGTGGGGACAAAACCACCTATGAAACAGTGATGTATGTGTGCTGCGTTGCAATGCTGCTGATCCCCTTCTCGGTGGTGACTGCATCCTACACCAGGATTCTCATCACAGTGCATCAGATGACATCGGCTGAAGGGAGGAAGAAGGCCTTTGCCACCTGCTCTTCACACATGATGGTGGTGACATTGTTCTATGGGGCTGCCTTGTATACGTATACGCTTCCCCAATCTTACCACACCCCAATCAAAGATAAGGTCTTCTCTGCCTTTTATACCATCCTCACACCCTTATTAAACCCTCTCATCTACAGTCTGAGGAACAGGGATGTGATGGGTGCCTTGAAGAGAGTTGTGGCAAGATGTTAGGGGACATGTGGTGTGATGAGGAAAGAATTCTGATGGTCTAAAACCTCCACATCCTGTTCAGGCATATATGGGGTCGTATCATGGATACCACGGATGATGCTGACAGGAACTTTCAATACCAGCTGTGCTAAATGGTGTATCAACAGTACCCCCATCAAAAATGGGAAGTTGCTGTAACAGTCACACACAAATAATGCCAGAGTTCTAGAAACACCACTCATGTTTATTCTTCTTTTGTTTCTACTGATTCCAAGTCTTCTCTCATATCACTTCTCTGATTGCAGTTTGTGTATATGAATGCCCCAAAATGTTGAGTTAATATTACATATTCTGCCCATTTTCAATGGCTCCATAAGAACTGGTGATTTTGACTATATTGTTTAAACAATCCATCAATTGGCTTGTCAAAGATTTAGGGATGCCAAGGTTTGAAAGACATATGAAAGAGACTAAACTGTCATAAAACTGTAAAAGAAAAATCTACATAGACTTACACCAAGATTTAGAAAATCCAAATATCTCTTCTTTGAGTAACCACTGAAAACACTCCTCCTTTATCTACATTTGGAGCTAAAAAAAAATGAATCATGTGTTTTGTAGAAATGCCAAGACTAAATCTTTATGGGGGAGGGAGTCTGTAATGTTAGTTTTTTAATATGGTAACTAACTGTTACATTGGAAGACACAGCAAAAGGTAGTTGAGAAAGAAATGCCCTATTAACTAGCAGTTTCTGTAATCACTTTACAGCTTCTTCTCCAATTCACTAGCATTTTTAAACTTTTGGGATCCCTGTGCAGATGTTAGTGTTGTTGGAGCTATTTCTACCAACTTTTCTCTTTTAAAAAAGTAGTAGACAGCGTCATATTTTTCCTTCTCTATAGCACTGGCTTTTGCATTGGATAGCATTGCAAAGTGGGAAGGAAATACCCAGCTTTTCATGTGAAAATTAGAACTGGAAACCCTTGTAAATGACTTAGTGTCATGAGCGGTGCAAAGTTAGAAATAACCAGGACCACAAATGCTTGTGTCTTTCCACAATGTCAGGATTTTATTGATGCTGTTTCAATCACAAAAGCCACCATGAGCTACATAGAGTTCCCAAGGGGGCAACTCTCCTTAGTACTTTTCATTCACTTGGTAGTCAGCGTTGTGGGCACACAGACTCAAGCCACTCCACAAGTCAGTCAATATTGCAAACCATACATAATAGTATACTTAATCAATATGTAAATGTTATAGGTTTAACATTTCACAACAAACAAACTAACATTTAACACAAGAAGGAAAAGGGATAGGAGAAAGGATCACAAACCAGTCCAAGGGGAGAGAAGAAGAGAAAAGCGGTCCTGGTCCAGGCCGGGTGGTCCACTGGTCTTGCAAGAAAGAGTCTCTGAGGTGGCAGAGACTTCAGCAGCAGATGCCAAGTTTTCATCACCAGTGACTGCAAGATGGCATCAGTTAACATGGCTATTTCGAGCTGCTGAAGGCCTGCTCTTTTACGGTTACAGAGTCCTCCCATGAGAACTGATCATGGAAGAGTGTGCTTGTTTGAGTCCTTATCTGGTTGGATACAGTCTTTTATTTTTTAATTTGTTTAGTAGACAACACATCTTATCCTTGTTGGAAAAGTGCTCTATGAAATATAAAATAAAGTCTTTTTCTAAGATGGAGTTGGCTACGTCAAGGGTGTTCTATACACTTAGTATGATTTCTTTTTAAGTGGCTAAGAACTGGAGAAAAAATGTTTGGCCTAAACTGTAGACACAGTAGTAAAAACCAGGACCACATCCCAAACCCCTCAGGCCACCTCTACAAGCTGCTGTGCCAGGCTTTGTACTGTCATTGGTTTAACAAAATCCAAGCCGGGTTCAGTGACGTTCTGCAGCGACTGAAGATGGTGGGTGAATGAAAGATAGCCACACCTCCTTTTGTACTGAAAAAAGCTGCTGGGTATTTGACAAAATATTTAGCCAAATAGAACAGCTCAACTTGGCATTGGGCTGAGCACTTAATCAAGAAAATAGACCAGGTCTTGCCTAACAGAGCAGGGTTTTCAGTTGAAATCCAGGAACAGCTTTTCCGAGGCTCTTCAGCTGGAGGCTCAACATCTCCTCAATCTTGTCAGACTGTCTTGGACAACAGTATGTGCCAGATAATATGAGGGAGCATTTCCAACCAAGAAGATGTTGAGGTACAAAAAACACAACAAATCAGAAGAGAAGGAGAGGGCTGGCCCATAAGAACTGATCATCAGTTTCAGCTCCACGTAAACACCATGTGAATTTCTGTCAATCATACAATGCTTCTGAGGACCAACTTTCTTTTTTATAAAATTTGACTTAATACATACTTTTTTTCTTGTAAGATTTTAAAATCAAGTAAAATGATGAATGTAATAAAACCTTATAAATGCTAGTCATTATTTCAGCTATTCTTTGAAAAGATGATTGACTTTTATATTCAGTTTTTACAATTTCTTTCATTTCTATCGATCCGTTACAGACAAAAGCACACTCTCTTGTACAGCCACTTTGGAATACAGTTTGACAGTTTCTTACAATATTGAACATAATCTTATCATATGATCTGGCAATTGTGTTTCTTGGTGTTAACTCTGCTGATTTGGAAACTTATGTTCACAGTAGATTTTTCATACATTCCAAAACATAGACTTAATCAGAAAGTCCTTCAGAAATTAAATGGATAAAGTGTGGCACATGCATACAGTGGAATATTATTTAGTGTTAAAAATAAATGATTTATCAAGCCATTGGAAGACATGGAGGAAATTTAAATGTATATTGTGAAGTGAAAGAAGCCAATCTGAAAAGGCTGCATACTGTGTGATTCCAGCTGCATGACATCCTGGAAAAAACAAAACTGTGGATACAGGAAAAAGATAAGTGTTGCAAGGGGTCTGGGGGAAGTATGGATGGATGGACAGAGCACAGAGGACTTTTAGAGCAGTGAAACTATTGTATATGACACAGTAATTAATGTTACATAAGATTATGCTACATGGTACTATGTATTTGTGGAAAAAAACATACAACTCTGGAACAGAAAGACTCATCCTTATGTAAAATATGAACTATTAATAATAATGTATCAAAATTGATTCATCTATTGTAACAAATGTACTACACTAATGCCAGATGTTAACAATAGGGAAAAGAGAGGGGATATATAAAAACTTTCTGAACTATCCATTCAATTTTTTGGTAAACCTCATTGTTCTAAAATATAAAATTTCATTTTAAAACAGTTTTCTAACAATTATATAACTCTCTGATACTATATTTCTTGATTGGATTTCAGTCAATAAATCATTAGGAGTTCTCATCAAAGAATTGTGGTGTTTGTAGAAGTTAGGATGGGGGATGGGGATGAAATAATAAAAGTTTGTTAATCTAATTGGTCTTGTTTTGGGAGTTTGGTTATATGTTGTTTTGAAGACGCGGGAGCAGTGAGGCTAATATTTCCTGGAAAGTTAGAAGAACATGGGCCAAATATTAATTAGTTTTATGCTTGGGGCATATGGTAGGAGCCCCTCATTCCAAGTTAGCATTCCTTCCCTGTTCTGCATATATAAGAAAATACTGGAAATGCATCATCTGTATATGGAAGAGGGGGGGAAATGTCTATATTACCTCACACCAGAAAACCAAAACCTATTAAAAGAGGGATGCTGCTTCAGGAGAAGGCCTTTTTAGAGTGAGTGAATTTTTTTTAAAGAATTTGATTATTCATGACCCATCATTGGGAATTTCATCTCGAGTTCAGATATTCAGCCTTTGATGGAATGTGAAGCCACTTGTGGGCCATTTGGCCATCCCTGCAGGAAAATCAGTTCAAAACTCAGCCTGACTCTGCGGGAAACCTCTTAGAAACATGTGCTTCCCCTGGTTGGAACCAGCTAGCAAAATGCATAATTTGTGCTCAAAGAAGAATTAGTAATGGCTAGAAGAGAGATTAATTTTTCTTTTAGCTCTCCTAGTAACTCAGTCTACCATTTGGATGACTCTGTTGCCTTAGCCTGAGTTTCTACTTAAGTGAATAGGGAATACTCTCCTAGATATGGTTGTTGATTCCCTCAGAACAAAATTAACACGGCAACTATCAAGTCATGCACAACCCTTTTGGAAACTTGAGGAAGAACGTGAGCAACATTTCTAAAGGTTTTTGTCACTATTCTGAAATTCATAATGTCATAAATATATGTCATTTTATTACTAGACTTTAGAAATATGTAGGCGTTGTGTAGCACAGAGTGATTTTTGATATGAATTGATGTTCTCAAGAAGTCAATGGTTTTACATTAAAAAATGCAGGACTGTGCATGGGAAGGAGTGTAGGTGGAATGATTGGGGACCATAGAGCAACAGGAGTCTGGCGCCTTCTAGGACCTATCCAGAGATATTCAGCCTGACAAGCATCAGGCATTCACAATGATGCTCAAATGAAATGTGAAGAATTATTAATGCAGGAGAAGAATTCAAGGTAGTTTTGTCAAACTGATGAGTTTTTGGTACATGCTAGTTGCAAAGATCACTGCTAGGTTTTTGGATTGCTGTGCTGAGGATTTTTCTGAGGTCACATGTAGGCCCTGTGGGAAGAGTGATGTAAACTAATTAGCCAGGATGGACACAGGTGGGTGCCTCGGGATGAGTTCTAGGACGTGGGGTGCCACATTGGCTGTAGTCAGCTCTTACCCCCAAGTGCCATCTAATGGTTTATAGCATAGCAGTTGCACAGCAAGAAGAAATAAAAAGCATCTAAATAAGGAAAAGAAGAAGGCAAACTATGTCTGTTTGCTGATAATATGATTCAATACCCCCCAAAAACCAAAAGACTTTGCCAAAAGATTCCTGGAACTGAGAAACAACTTCAAGTAAAGACTCAGGATACAAAATTAATATACAAAATTCAGTGACATTTCTAAACACCAAAAACATTCAAGCTGAGATCCAAATCAAGAACTCAATTCAATTTACAACAGCCACAAAAATAAAAAATCTAGGAATGCAGTTAGCCACAGAGGTGAAAGATCTCTGCTAGGAGAACCACAAAACACTGCTGAAAGAAAGTAAATAAGACTCAAACAAACAGATAAACATTCCATGCTCACTGGTTGGAAGAATTAATCTCATTAAAGTGGCCCAAGGAAATCTACAGATTTAATGTTATTCAGAAAAAACTACAGACTTTATTTTTCACAGAATTAGAGGCAACTATTATAAAATTAAGATGAAACAAAAAAAGAGACCAAAAAGCCAAAGTAACCCTAAGCAAAAAGAATAATGCTAAAGATATCACAATACCTGGCTTCAAACTATACTATAATGTTCCAGTAACCAAAGCAGATGGTACTGGTATAAAAACAGACACATAGACCAAATTGAATCAAATAGAGAACAAATAAATAAAGCCACAGACCTCCACCCTGTTTATCTTTGACAAAGTTGACAAAAGCAAGCAATGGGGAAAGGACTCCCTACCTAATAAATGGTGCTGTAATAGCTGGATAGCCATATGCAGAAGAATGAAAGTGGACCCCTGCCTTTCACTATATACAAAAATTAAATCATGATGAAATAAAGATTTAAATGTAATAACTCAAACTAAGAAGCCTAGAAGGAAGCCTACAAAACCCCATTCTGAACATTGGCCATGGGAAATAATGTATGACTAAATCCTCAAAAGCAATTGCAAGCAAAACAAAAATTGACAAGAGGGACCTAATTAAACTAAAGAGCTTTTGCACAGCAAAAGAAACTATCAACTGGGTAAGCAAACAACCTATAGAAAGGGATAAAATAGATTTTCTAGTTTATTTGCATAGAGATGTTTATAGTATTCTCTGATGGTAGTTTGTACTTCTGTGAGATCAGTGGTGATATTCCCTTTATCATATTTTACTGTGTCTATTTGATTCTTCTCTCTTTTCTTCTTTATTAGTCTGCCTAGCATTCTATCTGTTTTGTTAATCTTTTCAAAAAACCAGCTCCTGGATTCACTGAATTTTTGAAGGGATTTTTTGTGTCTCTATCTCCTTCAATTCTGCTCTGATCTTAGTTATTTCTTGTCTTCTGCTAGCTTTTGAATTTGTTTGCTCCTGCTTCTCTAGTTCTTTTAATTGTGATGTTAGGGTGTCAATTTTATATCTTTCCCACTTTCTCCTGTGGGCATTTAGTGCTATAAATTTACCTCTAAACACTGCTTTAGCTGTGTTCCAGAGATTCTGGTACATTGTGTCTTTGTTCGCATTGGTTTCAAATAACTTACTTATTTCTGCCTTTATTTCATTAATTACCCAGTGGTCATTCAGAAGCAGGTTGTTCAGTTTCCATGTGGTTGTGTGGTTTTGAGTGAGTTTTGTAATCCTGAGTTCTAATCTGATTGCACTGTGGTCTGAGAGACTGTTACGATTTTCATTCTTTTGCATTTGCTGAGGAGTGTTTTACTTCCAATTATGTGGTTGATTTTAGAGTAAGTGTTATGTGGTGCTGAGAAGAATGTATATTCTGTTGATTTGGGGTGGAGAGTTCTGTAAATGTCTATTAGGTCTGCTTGGTCCAGAGCTAAGTGCAAGTCCTGAATATCCTTGTTAATTTTCTATCTCATTGATCTGTCTAATATTGACAGTGGGGTGTTAAAGTCTCCCACTATTATTGTGTGGGAGTTTAAGTCTCTTTGTAGGTCTCTAAGAACTTGCTTTATGAATCAGAGTGCTCCTGTATTGGGTGCATATATATTTAGGATGGTTAGCTCTGCTTATTGCATTGATCCCTTTACCATTATGTAATGTCCTTCTTTGTCTTTTTTGATCTTTGTTGGTTTGAAGTCTGTTTAATCAGAGACTAGGATTGTAAACCCTGAATTTTTTTTTTTTTTTTTTTTTTTTGCTTTCCATTTGCTTGGTAAATCTTCCTCCATCCATTTATTTTGAGCCTATGTATGTCTTTGCACATGAGATGGGTCTCCTGAATACAGCACACTGATGGGTCTTTACTCTATCCAATTTGCCAGTCTGGGCCTTTTAATTGGGGCATTTAGCCCATTTACATTTAAGGTTAATATTGTTATGTGTGAATTTGATCCTGTCATTATGATGTAAGCTGGTTATTTTGCCCATTAGTTAATGCAGTTTCTTCATAGTGTCAATGGCCTTTACATTTTTGTTTGTTTGGGCAGTGGCTGGTACAGGTTTTTCTTTTTCATATTTAGTGCTTCCTTCAGGAGCTCTTGTAAGGCCGGCGTGGTAGTGACAAAATCTCTCAGCATTTGCTTGTCTGTAAAGGATTTTATTTCTCCTTCACATATGAAGCTTAGTTTGGCTGGATATGAAATTCTGGGTTGAAAATTTTTTGATTTAAGAATGTTGAATATTGACCCACACTCTCTTCTGGTTTGTAGGGTTTCTGCAGAGAGATCCACTCCTAGTCTGATGGGCTTCCTTTTGTGGGTAACCCGATCTTTCTCTCTGGCTGCCCTTAACATTTTTTCCTTCATTTCAACCTTGGAGACTCTGACAATTACATGTCTTGGGGTTGCTCAATCATCTAATCTTTGACAAATCTGACAGAAACAAGCAATAGAGAAAGGATTCCCTATTTAATAAATGGTGTTAGGAAAACTAGCTAGCCATATGCAGAAAATTGAAACTGGATCCCTTCCTTACACCTTATACAAAAATTAACTCAAGATGAATTACAGATTTAAATGTAAGACCTAAAACCATAAAAACCTTAGAAGAAAACCTAGGCAATACCATTTAGGACATAGGCGTGAGCAAACACTTCATGACTAAAACACCAAAACCAATTGCAACAAAAGCAAAAATTGACAAATGGGATCTAATTAAATTAAAGAGCTTCTGCACAGCAAAAGAAACTATCCTGAGAGTGAACAGGCAACCAATAGAATGGGAGAAAATGTTTGCAATCTATCCATCTGACAAAGGGCTAATATCCAGAATCTACAAGGAACTTAAACAAATGTACAAGAGAAAAACAAACAACCCCATCAGAAAGTGGGCAAAGGATATGAACGGACACTTTTCAAAAGAAGACATTTATATGGCCAACAAACATATAATAAAATGCTCATCATCACTGGTCATTAGAGAAATGCAAATCAAAACCACTGTGAGATACCATCTCACACCAGTTAGAATGGTAATCATCAAAAAGTCAGGACACAACAGATGCTGGAGAGGATATGGAGAAATAGGAACACTTTTACACTGTTGGTGGGAATGTAAATTAGTTCAACCATTGTGGAAGACAGTGTGGCAATTCCTCAAGGATCTAGGACTAGAAATACCATTTGACCCAGCAATCTCATTACTGGGTATATACCCAAAGGATTATAAATCATTCTACTATAAGGACACATGCACACGTATGTTTATTGCAGTACTATTCACAATAGCAAAGACTTGGAACCAACACAAATGCCTGTCAATGTCAGACTAGATAAAGAAAATGTGGCAGATATATGCCATGGAATACTATGTAGCCATTTAAAAAAATGAGTCAATGTCCTTTGCAGGGACATGGATGAAGTTGGAAACCATCATTCTCAGCACACTAACACAGGAACAGAAAACCAAATGCCACATGTTCCCACTCATAAGTGGAAGTTGAACAATGAGAACATATGGGCACAGGGAGTGGAACATCACACACTGGGGCCTGTTGAAGTGTGGGGGGCAAGGGGAGAGAGAGCATCAGGAGAAATACTTAATGTAGATGATGGGTTGATGGGTGCAGCAAACCACCATGGCATATGTATACTTATGTAACAAACCTGCACATTCTGCACATGTACCCCAGAACTTAAAGTATAATTTTAAAAATTCGTTTAATCCAAAAAAGAAAGGGATAAAATATTCACAAACTGTGTATGCCAAAATGGTCTAAGATCTGCAGTATATAAGGAACTTAAATAATTCAACAAGCAAAAACAAACACCGCCATTAAAAAGTGGCCAATACCATGAATAAACACTTCTCAAAATAACACATATAATTGGCCACAAACATGAAAAAATGTTCAACATCACTAATCATCATAGAAATGCAAATCAAATCACAATGAGATACCATCTCATACCAGTCAAAATGGTCATTATTAAAAAGCCAAAAACAACAGATGCTGCTGAGGTTGTGGAGAAAAGGTAATGTTTATACACTGTTGGTGGGAATGTAAATCAATTCAGCCAATGTAGAAAACAGTTTGTAGGTTTTTCAAAGAACTTAAAACAGAGCTACCATTTGACCCAGTAATCCCATTACTGGGTATATACCCAAAGAAAAATAGATCATTATGCCAAAAAGACCCATGTACTTATATATTCAACACCATGCTATTCACAATAGCAAGACATGGAATCAACCTAGTTGCCCATCAATGGTAGATTGGATAAAGAAAATGTGGCAAAAAAAAAAAAAAAAAAGAAAATGTGGCACATATACACCACGAAATACTATGAAGCCATTAAAAAAGTATGAAATCCTGTCCTTTGCAGCAATATGGATAGAGCCAGAAGCCATCATCCCACGTGAATTACCACAGGAACAGAAAGCCAAATACTGGATGTTCCTACTCACAGATGGGAGCTAAACATTGAACACCTGGCCACAAAGATGGCAACCATTACATCCTAGAGGTGGGAGGAAGGGAGGGGGTAGGTGTTGAAAAACTGCTGGGTACCATGCTCACTACTTGAGTGATGGGATCATTTATAATCCAAACCTCAGCATCACACAATACACTCAGGCACATGTACGCCATGAATCTCAAATAAAGTGGAATGAATAAATAAATAAATAAAATGATTTTTTCAAAAGAAGTTAAATAAATGAATAGTAAAAATATAAAAGTTGGCCGAGTGCAGTGGTGCATGCCTGTAATTCCCACACTTTGGGAGGCCAAGGCATATGGATCACCTGAGGTCAGGAGCTCGAGGCCAGCCTGTCCAACATGGTGAAACCCCATCACTACTGAAAATACAAGATTAGCCAGGCGTGGTGGTGTATGCCTGTAGTCCCAGCTACTCGGGAGGCTGAGACAGGAAAATCACTTGAACCCTGGAGGTGGAGGCTGCAGTGAGCCAAGATCATGCCACTGCACTCCAGCCTGGGCAAGACAGAGTGAGACTCTTGTCTCAAAAAAAAAAAAAAAAAAAGTTGAAGTTAAAAAAATTAATTAACCTTTCTAGGAAAAACAACAGAAAACATTAAATCTAGTCCTTTTACATCAGAATTTCCAGATCTGTGTGTTTGTGTTTATTTATTTATAGATAGATGAAATGATTGATATATAGATGTGAATTGATAATATAAAAAATGATAATATTTTTGAGGTGCAACTTAACAAAATCAAAACTTTAAAAATATTCACACAAATGAATTAAATAATATTGACTGAGGAAAAGTCGATGAAGAAAACTTCCAAAATCTATACTCAAATTAGACATAAGGATTTAATCAGCACATTATTTTTTAGTCCCCTGAATTAAAACTGTATGTATGTTATAAAAATGGAGCATTAATTAAATAATATTGAGCATATCCATAAAGTATAGTACTTTGTGGATAGTGCATGCTACGTTTGGGAGAATATTTCACATCGGGGCACTTTTTATGTTGTATTTTGTGAACAATGCAAATTGTGGAATTACATGTTAACCCACAGACACTCATCACACACACATATATGTTGTTGTGTAAATGCCATATCTATTTATAGTGTTTAAGTTTCTGCATGTGTCTCTCTGTTGGTTCTCTACCTCTTGTTTAGTTACATAAAGCTCTTGTAGTTTACTGGTACATACACACACATACCCACGAACATACACACAAACAAACACATACAGTATAAATGCAATTTTGTAAGGATAATCATCTCTATGATGTGTTTTCGATAACCCTATCTGGTATTATGTTTTTCCCGATGGGTATGCGTTACCTTTATGCTCAAATAAAATAATAATTATTAAACTACCAACAAACATAACAGATGTTATGTTATTAAAATATAATAGAAATAAAGCTACTTTTTATCTTTTTAATGGCTTTCCACATTTGTTCCCACATTTCTCTGTGAGGAAGAGCTGCTGGCAGAACTTTCTGATGAAACACTCAGGAAATCAGTTTTACACTTTGAAGCACAGGAGTTGAAACATGTTCTCAAAGCCCATGTCACTTAAATGTTCACTGTTTTCCACCCCATCAATACACTTCTCATTAGCTGTAATAAGTCCGTCTCATTAAAGTCTCCTGAGATCCAAAAGGAAGAAACTTGCTCTTTCCCAGAGCACTTCATTCCATGTCCCTCAAAGAAAACTATTTAAACTCATGCCTCTTTTCAATCTGGGCGCTCCCTTGTCGCTCCAGGGATCTCAAAAGCAGAACACCCAGAATAATTCGGCACTCTTTACTGGTCTGCTGCTTTCTTCCTGCATTTTTAGTTTTTCAGACCTGTTTAGTTGCTAAATATTTCCCTGTAAAGATAAGAAATAGACATTATTACATGTTTCTAGAAGGCTGGAGAATTTATGCAATTTGTCCTGGCAATGCAAATTGTTTCAAGGATTTCTAAGGTGGCATTTATTTGTTTGGCTTAATAATACTTCCTTCTGCAGAGTTATATTACAAAAATAGCTCCTAATAAACTTGTTGCATGTCTCTCTTTGTCCTAACTCCATCATCAGTTGCTAAGGATACCTTCAGTCATGCCAAGTTCATAAATCCAAATTAGAAATCTATGCATACTGGATCTTCAGGGTAACATGCTGACAGCACTTTGGCATCCAGATGGCCTAGATGTTGAAGGATTTCCTGTTGTGGGTACCAATGACTATGAATTGCTTTGTGTGTTTTCTTCTTGGTATAAGTTAGATGAGAATTTAAGTCTACTAAATCTAATCATTTTTCCTTCTAGCAAAATATCACCTTCAACCTTCTAAAAAGTCTTAGTTCTTCATCGCTTGTTTAGTTACATAAAGTTGTTGTAGTTTGCCAGTAAGTTTTTGATTTACTAAATTATACATAACCTTCTCTATCTACTACTCTGAATGGCTATCCTGACAGATTCAGCTCTCTGTAAGTGACAGATAATCATCTTTTGTTGGAATACAGTTTGGAATAAAATTAGATATTTGGATAATTTTTATGAAAATTATGTATATTGTATTCCTTGATGTCTACTTAGTGATGTGTGTCACATGCTGTTTTGAGTGGGTGGCATTCAGATTGCATGGATGAGAGGAGATATGAGAAATGTGAGAACATATAGAACACATGAATACATTACTTTATGAAGCTCTTTGAAAATTAAATAATTGGATTTAATAGTTAAGGTTTTGTCTAAATGATGCAACATCCCTCAGTAAAATTAGGCAATTAAAATGGATCATCTAGGAGCTTCTGCTGTACTTAGACTCACTTTGTTTGTTCCACTCTTCCTATTCCCTTAATGAAAATCCAGGTCTTTTGGAATTATGCAGGAATTTCACAGGTAAGAAGTCAAATGCTGATGAGCACCTAGACTGACTCCTCCTCATAGTAGCACTTTAAATATTTGGTGCATATGCAAATGACCGGGTTGCCAGAACATTTCATTGTGGTCTGACTGAATTTACGTTCTTTATATGACATAAACAAGATTTACGTAAACTGGATCTAAGAAAGTTGAGGCAGAGTTGTCTGCAACTCCTGGGCTGGAAATCTCAGGCACAAGTATAATGAGGAATGACTGTCCCATTCCCTCCATGCCAAATGCAAGTGCATTGAGAAAAAGAGTGCCTGTCTGATTATCTGTGGGAATTACATGGAGTGAGTGTTGTAAATCTCAGGTAGAAGGATGCCATTGAGTGTAACAGTGCAAAGAATCTTTTCTTAAATGTTTGCTGCTTTTCTTAAAAAAATAATTTAAGCAAACTTTAGTCTTATGAATTAGATAGGATAAGGACAATACTGTTCGAAAGGCACAAAAGATCTAAAGGAAAAACCTGTACTTACTCCTAGTTTCTAAAGTACAGACTATGAACCAGGCTTCCTGAATCTCTGAACAGTGCATTGTCTTTATCTCCTTCCCCTCGTTTTACAGATAAGAACACTGATGATTGGAGAGTTGAAGATGCTTGCATTAAAGACACAGAGCTGACGTAAGGCAGACTCCTACAGGCATTCTAATTTCCAACATAGACTCGTTGCCTGACTGTCAAACGTGCAAGCATTTTAAAAATCCTTTTTTCCACAATGATTTCAAAGAATGTGCAGACACCTGGATTTCTCAGATCCACTTTGCCAGTGATTCACAGGCATTTTTTTAGTGTCCATCACACCAAGCATAAAATAAACTCTCATCAGAAATAACAGGTCTCTCTAGTAGAGGGGTTTATTCTAGTGTGTAGTCTCTTTATGGGTCTTGTAGGAGGTGTGTGTGGGTTGAAGAATGTGGTTCTAAGTTACTCTAAAATTGTCAGAGTACATTAGTGCTTTATTATCTAATAATTGTATGATTATTATTTCAATATGAGTTCATTCTTAATGATTCCAACTTTTTGAAATACTAAACAGAATTTAGGAACACGGAGAAAAACTAGGAACATATATTTTTGTATTTAGTCTCAAAATTGCACAGCACTGTATTGACCTGTCTTGAGAACTTCTCATGTGAAAAGGTAACTGTAAGTTTGAATGTGTATGTAATGACTCAATGTGTCTGCGATAACAACAGAAAAGTAATATTGCCAGTGTATTCTGTACAGGAAAAACCACACCTACAGTAATCTGTTGAAATTGAGGTATTATATTCTAAAATAGACATTGCAAAAGCTATCCCCAGTAAATACCTGGAAGTTGAGCACTTTGGAAAAAAATTCATACATGAATGCATAAAATAACTGGAGAAGTGTGACCGGTATAGAGAAGGAGGACAGAAAACCTTGTAGTCATATTCACATTATGAAATGTTGAATGTTGCAAAGAGAGAAAACTGGTTCCAAGCAGATTCAGAAGGCAAGGAAGAATCCTGCATGAAGCAGCTTTAATTTAAGCTAATGCAGAGCTTCCTAACAAGGCTGCTGCATTGAAGGAGCATGGAGCTTGCTCTTTTCTTTGGCAGAAACTTCACCAGTGGTCATAGGGAAGCAAGCAAAGGCTGCAACTTACAAGTTAGGAATTATCTTGTCACTTGATTTAAAGGATGGGCTTGGAGATCATCACAGTCCTGGGCAAGCATTGTGTCCTACCTTCAAACTGTAGTGATGTGGGAGGAAAATATTTGCGGCCATCCCTACTCAACCAACATGCACGCCTTATAAAATAGTACAGAATATTTACAAATGTCAGGATAACATAAATGCATTGATTTATCTCTTGGTGTACGGTATTATGCAATAAAAAATAGTTTAGGTAGGCCTAAAAGACAATTTTATCCAATAAAATTATGTCTATTTTATCCACTAACTTTTTAAAAATAATTTTCTCAAAATTTGCAGGCCAAGCATACTTCTGCTCTTCAAAGGCATTTAGATGTTCTGCAAGCTTAATTGAAATGCACAGTTTTTTCTGAGAATTTCTACTAAGTAACAATCCTTTCAAGTCAAAGGATACTTGGGGGAAAAGATAGACTTTAACTGCTGATGTAACTTCACTGGGAGCACCTGGGTTTACAGACCTTTTCTGAAGATCAGGAGGTATTTGCAATTTAAATTCATAGATTTTAGTTGAATATGTAGATTGCTTAAATGAGAGATTGAGAATTTGCACCCATTTACCAATAGTTTTGAAATAATTTGCAGATATCTTACATTTTACTTGGTATTGTATAAAATATTTGCACCTGTAACTATAAATTTCTTATTTGATTCTTAAAGTAACCCTGAATGTTTATTATATCAATTAATATAAGCAGATACTGAGGCTCAGGGTGTTTAGGAAGATAATCCAAGGTCACAGAATTAATTAATGTCGTGACCAGAGGAAGAACTCAATTCATTTAATTCTAAATTTTGTTTTACTGTATGTTGCCTTCATCATTTCAGAAACAAATGCCTATATAAAGTCACAGAATCATTCCAAACATTTTCTGATTATTTTTATGTGTACTAAACCATAGCAAAGCTGTATGATCTATGCCCAGGAGATATTCAACAAGTATAGTTACTTATTGTGCTCACTCTAGTGAGAGAGCAGATAATAAATTTAACAAAACATTTTACTTAAAATCATAATTTACTTTGAGGAGGGCTTGTTCTCTGATAAATTAGATCTTTTGTATGCAGATAGGAAAAGTAAGGCCACTTGGCTGCAAAATGGAGTAGACTTTAGAATTTCCCTTTGCATTGCTAGGTTTGCAGGGCTAGCTGGCCATAGAAAAAGCTAGAACCACAGAAGAGTTACATATATACATATATAAATCTATGGGAGGAAATTATGAATGTATATACTTATATATATATATATAATGGATAAAAGATCATCCTTTATATTCTTGAAGTTTGTTGTGGATTTTACTGTAACCTGAAATTGTATAAAACAGTCCCTCAGTTTTTCTTAATTGCCAGAGCTACGGAAAAATTCCAATTTCCAAAAATCATCGGTGAGTTATACCTCAATATGTATGTCCCTGTGCTATTACATATACGTGTGTGTGTGTGTGTATAAAATGGGAGTAAGGGTGAACAGACAGCAGAGACCACTGTTTGACTTTGTGAAGCAGCACATGATTTTCCCTCTGTTTCTGGTGTCTTATCGCATGATAAAAGTCAAACCGAAAATGTAGGAAGTGTGGAAGTAGCTGAAATACTGCTAATATTTAGGCTGCGACATAAACTGGAGAGGAGTTTCCCTTTAGAAATATATTTTTATAGGTTCCATTAATGAAACCTAAAAAAAGTAAAATGAGGGAGGTTGTAAGTAATGATGACATTGTACATAGTATCATAAAAATGTATAAAACCTGACACCAAATATTCTGAATTAGCAAAATATACATTATATATATATATAAAATATACATATGATGTATCTATGTGTACATTTTTATATATGTGTGTATATCTGTACACATAGTTTATATCCATAAAACAGCAATCCTGATTATAATAATTTATGTGATCTACTCTCAAGTATGACTAATTTTCATTAGTCACATTAGTTATTACATTGTTAACAATTTAGCAGGTTCACATGCTTGGTACATTTTATTTGCTAATTACAGTAAATGTCTAGCTGCTATTCCCATATAAAGCTTCCTATATACACAATGCCATGTGTATGAATATATAATGAATTGAGACTATCTAGTCCAAACACTCCTGGCACTAACAGACCCCGTGACCACCAACACGTTACCCTCAATGCTGTCATTGGTGAGAGGGGCTTTTATAGCTCCTCACTTCTTAGTTTTATTGTGAAGATCAGGGAGTCAATAGTTACAAAGTACTTCTTAGCATGACACTTTGCAAAATAAACTCCACGATGTCATCATCATTATTCTCAATAGCAACTTCTTTTTCTGGGCAATTGACTCAAATGCTAATATTTTTAGAATATTTAGAGGAGCACTAGACTAGTTTGATCAATTTTACTCCCAAATATGTTGGTAAAATGTCTTTCTTGGGACACTTTTAGCCTTAAACAATGTGAAAAATCATCCTTTACTTCCATGAAGTTTGTTGTGGATATTTGTTTCTTTATTGTAACCTGAAATTGTATAAAACACACTCAGTTTTTCTTAATTATGAAGAACTATGAAAAATTCTAATTTCCAAAAATAATCAGTGAATTATAGCTCAATGTTTACGTCCCTGTGGTATTTCCTCTGAATATTAATTGCTAATACTGATTTCTAATGGTCATGCTAATCATAATCCTAATGCTAATTCCTCATCATCTTAAAATTGAAAATAAATAAAATTCTACAACACTGAATGCCTCTTGTATTGAGAATAATTTTTATGTCTAAATTTGCAAGAGTAGTTTCCGTTGAGTTTCTGTTGCCCTTTTTATTTCATCCCTTATAATTTGTCTGGGACATGGATAAACTAACACCAAGTATACTCTCATGATGTAGACAGTGACTTGTGACCCAAATGGTAGATAACCCGTACTTGTAGCTAAATGGAAGACATGAGCTACTCACAGCCAGCACCAAAGATGTTTTGAAAGTAGTGGTGATGCCAACCATACAAAGACACATTAAATAATAATACAAATTTAAATGCATCTAAGGTAATACACACACGCATACACCGGACCATGGTATGCGTAACTGCTGTGTAGCATGGTATGCAACCTTAGGCATTGTTATGCACATCATCGTAATACAGTATCATCTGCTGACCTCATCTTCTCCAATGTATTTAAGCAATTATTGATTAATAATGACCAATTTTATTTAAAAACCTTCTGGAATAGAGTAAATGCTAGATATCAGTCTCAATGTGGCAAGAATACTATTTTTTAAATGTTTTCTTCCCACTTTTAAAAGTTTGCTGCCTAACAATTAATTCACATGTTGTTATTTTACTGCCCTGGGAATGCTATCATCTTATTTGGAAGATATTACCTTATATCGGCACAACTGTAGGATCAATGGAAGAGTACAACACATCCTCTACAGACTTCACTTTCATGGGGCTGTTCAACAGAAAGGAAACCTCAGGTCTTATTTTTGCCATCATCTCTATCATCTTCTTCACCGCACTGATGGCCAATGGGGTTATGATCTTCCTGATCCAAACAGATTTGCGCCTTCATACACCCATGTACTTCCTCCTCAGCCACCTTTCCTTAATTGACATGATGTATATTTCCACTATTGTGCCTAAGATGCTGGTTAATTACCTGCTGGATCAAAGGACCATTTCCTTTGTGGGGTGCACAGCTCAACACTTCCTCTACCTTACCCTTGTGGGAGCTGAATTCTTCCTGCTGGGCCTCATGGCCTATGACCGCTATGTGGCCATTTGCAACCCTCTGAGATACCCTGTCCTCATGAGCCGCCGGGTCTGTTGGATGATTATAGCAGGTTCCTGGTTTGGGGGCTCTTTGGATGGCTTCCTCCTAACCCCCATCACCATGAGCTTTCCCTTCTGCAATTCCCGGGAGATTAACCACTTCTTCTGTGAGGCACCAGCAGTCCTGAAGTTGGCATGTGCAGACACAGCCCTCTACGAGACAGTGATGTATGTGTGCTGTGTTTTGATGCTGCTGATTCCTTTCTCTGTAGTCCTTGCTTCCTATGCCCGAATCCTGACTACAGTTCAGTGCATGAGCTCAGTGGAGGGCAGGAAGAAGGCATTTGCCACTTGCTCATCCCACATGACTGTGGTGTCCTTGTTCTACGGGGCTGCCATGTACACCTACATGCTGCCACATTCTTACCACAAGCCAGCCCAGGACAAAGTCCTCTCTGTGTTTTACACCATTCTCACACCCATGCTGAACCCCCTCATCTACAGCCTTAGAAACAAGGATGTGACTGGAGCTCTGAAGAGGGCCTTGGGGAGGTTCAAGGGTCCTCAAAGGGTGTCAGGAGGTGTCTTTTGACAGTCGACTCCTTCCCATGCATATGGTAAATGGGGGACTCTGTGGTCACTGTGGCTGTGCTTTCATCAAAAGATGAAGCAAAAAGGGAGGGAGTCATATGATTACAATATTGGTTTTTTGGCTAGGGTTTCTGGTTCATAACTCCATAGTTATGATGTTGTGGTTTTTTAGGCCTCAGAAAACTGAATCTCTCTCTGTGATCTTCGCCTTCCCTCTTTTCACCTGCTTCTTTTTCTCCCCAAAGAAAGCCTTAGAAACTAAAAATATAATCCAATCTTTCCCCGCTTTTGGTCACAAAGAAATTATCTGACTACCTTGTCTGACTGTATGTCATAAGACCTCTGTTTCAAAAGAGGTCTTCTCTCATACCCTGGGGGAGGGAATGCTATACAGAGAGGCCAAGAAAAATCCGATCAGACAGGCCTTCGTGGGTGTCCCCACTCACTCTATCAACATTAGGTCATACTCTTTGTTCAATCATATTTCTGTGCAATTGTCCATGCTTCAATCATGACTATTCAATAAAGTCTCCATATAAGGGCCAAAAGGAGAGGACAGAAAACTTCTGGACAGCTAAACTCATGAAGCTGAACAGGAGGGTGATAAGAACCCATCCATGTGCCTGGAGGGTGGCATGTCCCAACTCCACAGAGGCAGAAGCTCTTATGCTCTTCCAGACCTCACCCTCTGTGTCTTTTCATCTGACTGTTTCTGTGTATCCTTTGTAATATCATTTATAACAAGTGGTAAACATAGGTAAGTGTTTCCTTGAATTCTGTGAGCCTTTATAGTAAACTAACTGAACCCAAGGAAGGGCCGTGGGATCCCCAATTTACAATCACTTGGTCAAAAGTACAGGACAACTTGGGGCTTTTAATTGGCACTGGAAATGGAAGGCAGTGTTATGGGACTGAGCCCTCACCCTGTGGGATCTGACACTATCTCCAGATAGATAGTGGCAGATGGTCATGGGAGTTTAGCTTGGGCTAGAGCATTTGACTGTAGATAGTGGCAGATGGTCACGGGAGTTTAGCTTGGGCTAGCGCATTTGACTGTAGATAGTGGCAGATGGTCACGGGAGTTTAGCTTGGGCTAGAGCATTTGACTGTAGATAGTGGCAGATGGTCACGGGAGTTTAGCTTGGGCTAGCGCATTTGACTGTAGATAGTGGCAGATGGTCACGGGAGTTTAGCTTGGGCTAGCGCATTTGACTGTAGATAGTGGCAGATGGTCACGGGAGTTTAGCTTGGGCTAGAGCATTTGACTGTAGATAGTGGCAGATGGTCACGGGAGTTTAGCTTGGGCTAGCGCATTTGACTGTAGATAGTGGCAGATGGTCACGGGAGTTTAGCTTGGGCTAGCGCATTTGACTGTAGATAGTGGCAGATGGTCACGGGAGTTTAGCTAGGGCTAGAGCATTTGACTGTAGATAGTGGCAGATGGTCACGGGAGTTTAGCTTGGGCTAGAGCATTTGACTGTAGATAGTGGCAGATGGTCACGGGAGTTTAGCTTGGGCTAGCGCATTTGACTGTAGATAGTGGCAGATGGTCACGGGAGTTTAGCTTGGGCTAGCGCATTTGACTGTAGATAGTGGCAGATGGTCACGGGAGTTTAGCTTGGGCTAGAGCATTTGACTGTAGATAGTGGCAGATGGTCACGGGAGTTTAGCTTGGGCTAGAGCATTTGACTGTAGATAGTGGCAGATGGTCACGGGAGTTTAGCTTGGGCTAGAGCATTTGACTGTAGATAGTGGCAGATGGTCACGGGAGTTTAGCTTGGGCTAGAGCATTTGACTGTAGATAGTGGCAGATGGTCACGGGAGTTTAGCTTGGGCTAGAGCATTTGACTGTAGATAGTGGCAGATGGTCACGGGAGTTTAGCTTGGACTAGCGCATTTGACTGTAGATAGTGGCCGATGGTCACGGGAGTTTAGCTTGGGCTAGCGCATTTGACTGTAGATAGTGGCAGATGGTCATAGGAGTTTAGCTTGGGCTAGCGCATTTGACTGTAGATAGTGGCCGAATGGAATTGATTTGGAGGACACCAAGTGGTGTCCACTGCAGAAATGATTGTTTACTTCGTGTGTATCAAAAATCCCCCACTCATTTGGTCCCATACATCTTATATGTTGGTTGTTGTGTGGTGTGGAAGCAGAGGAAAAACAGTTTCATGTGTTTTTTTCCTCAAAGAGCGTTCAACTTGGTGGGAAAAAAAAACTAATGTAAAAAAACGTCCTCTTGATCTCTTTTCCTTCTCTTTTCTTTTTTTCTTATACCTTCCGTTTCTCCTGCCATGTTCACATGTATTCTAAATAAATACAAGAGGGCTCCATAAACACAAAAATGTGTTTCCATCTGCAAGCTGGTAGAAAGAGTCATTGAACATAGTCTTCTTAAACAGGTATTGTACTCACTACAATCAGGTGCTTATTACTTTCAGTAAAAGTACGGTATTTATCTTTTTTTATTTTGCAACACATTAGTGAAAACTATTTGTCAGATAACTTAAAATAAATGGATGAAAGCAAAGGACATTGCCCAGAAAAGACATCATGAGAACACTGCATATCTGAGGGGTAACGGGGTTTCTAAAACACTGGAGAAACATACAGGGGGATGGGTTAGGAAGGCAGTAAAATGCTTTTCAAATATCTCATGAGATCATCAAGATTAAGCATATATCAGCCATGTAATAGTATTAGGGCATAGTTAATATTCATGTTCCATATGGATCCAGGAATTGAGGAAAGAAAGCATGTGCCGATACATGGTTAGTATCCCAATTATATAAAGAGTTCACTCATCATCAAAAGGGTGACTTTCTCAAAATTATAATTCACCATGTGGGGTTATCATTATACAAACATCATCATGGTCATAATCATAATCATATTCATCAATCTCTATCTAAAACTTAAAAATTTATGTGCCTTGCCAGGTTCATCATCCTTTAACAACTTCATAACAAAGGAAGCAGAACTTGTTATGAGTCATAGTTTACATGTAAGAACAGTAAGTTTCAGGGAAGCAAGAAAATTCTGTAGGATAATAATTCTAATTAATAGACTAGATGGCAGAATTTCAAGAAATGTGATTGATAGAACACTATATTCTTCAGATACAGCTTCCTCATTCATTCATTCATGCTTTATAGCTGTGACCAAGACAAACAAAGCAATTGCACTTGAGAAATTTGCATTCCAGTGTGGAAAAGACAATGAACAAAAATAAATACAACAAGTGAGCAAGCAAAAAAACACATATATCCACCATGTTGTGTGTGGTAGCTGTGACTAAAGCTAAACATATCCATATCCTGCACCCCTGCAGGTCCATTCTTGAGTGAATTCTTAATAGATATATTATAGTTTGAATTTGGTTTATTTTGCCCCCACCAAAGCTTATGTTGAAATTTGATCCCCAATATGGTGTTGTTGGGAGGTCAGGCCTAGTGGGAGATGTTTGGGTCATGGAGGCAGACCCTTCATGAATGGCTTGGTGCTATTCTTGTGTTAGTGAGCGAGTCCTCACCCTGGCAAGTCTGAACTACCTCTTGGAGGAATTAATTCATTTCTGGGAGAGTGGGTTGTTATAAAGCCAGTACATCCTTCAGGTTTTGCTCCACCTTTGACCTTCTCCACCATGTTTTGAGCTAGCATTTGTCCCTCACCAGAAGTCAAACAGATGCTGGCCCCATGTTTCTCATACTTCTCAGCCTTCAGAACGATAGTCAAAATCAGCTTCTTTTTTTTTAATAAATTACTCAGTCTCAGGTATTCTTCAATAGCAACATAAAATGGACTAAGACAGAAAATTGGTACCAGGGAGTGGGGTGTTGCTATAAAGATACATGAAAATATAGAAGTGGCTTGGAATTGGGTAATGGGCAGAATTTGGAAGAGTTTGGAGGAGGGGGCTAAAAAAAACTGCATTACCATGAAGGGTGCATTAAGGACAATTATTGTGAGGGCTTAGGAAAAGAGAAGGCTCAGGAGAAAATAAAAAGACAAGAGAAAATTTGCAACTTTTTAGAAATCGTTTTAGTGGTTCTGGCCAAAATGCTGTTAGAAATGTAGACAAGTAAAGGCCATTGTGATGAGTTCTCAGAAGGAAATGAGGAGTATTTATCTGCAAACTGGAGGAAAGGTCAACCTGGTTCTACAGTTGCAAAGAACTTGGGTCCATGATGTCCATGGCCTAGGACTTTATGGGAGACTGAATTTAAGAGTAATGAACTAGAATATCTGGTGGAAGAAATTTCTAAGCATAAAAGCTCTCATGCTGCTATGTAGCTACTTCTAACTGCATAAGGTTAACTGTCAGGAAAAGGGGAAGCAGAGTGTACATTTTTGGAAAATTTGCAGCCCAGCTATGTGGTAAAGAATTCGTGTTTTCAAGAGAGGAAACCAGAGGTACAGCCAAGAGACCCTTTGCTAAAGAGATTAGTGTGGATGAAAAGGAGCCAGGTGCTAATAGTCCAAACAAAGGGAACAAAATCCCAAAGGCATTTCAAAGCTCTTCCATGCTATCCTTCTCTTTGCAGTCCCACGGCCTGAGAAAGCAGAGTTATTTTGAAAGACTATCCTAAGCCTGGTGCCCTGTGTTGCATCAGGACCCTGCTTTGTACATCTAGCAGTGGCTCAAAAAGCCCCATATGTGTCTCTGGCTACTCCAGAGAGCCCAAATGGTAAGCCATAGCTTCCACATGGTAATCTGCAAGTGCCAAAATTAAAAGAGCCATAGAGATATTACATGTGCTACCTAGATTTCACAGGACAGCTTGGAAATCCTGAAAGTCCAGTCAGAAAACTGCCACAGGGGTGGAGCCACTGCCAAGAGCCTCTACTAAGGCAATTCCCACTGGAAATGTGAGCCCAGAGCTGCCACAGAGAGTCCCTACTGGGGCAATGGTTAACAGAACCATGGGGGCAGCATGGGAGTGGGGCCCCAGAATGTTGCAGCCACCAGCAGCATGCAATCTCAGCCTGGAGAAGTGGCAGGCATAGAACTCCAATTTGTGAGAGCAGATATGTGACTATGCCCAGCAATTCCATAAGGGCGGAGGTGCCTGAGGCCTTGGGAGCCCATCCCTTACACCAGTGTGCCCAGGATCATGGAGTCCAGTAAGATTTTTCTGGAACTTTAAGATTTAATGTGTGCCCTGCTGGGTTTCAGACTTACATGGGGTCTGTCATTTCTTTCTTTTGGTCAAATTCTCCTTTTTGGAATGAGAATGTTTACCAAATGTCTGTCCCACCATTGTAATGTGGAGGTAAATAACTTGCTTTGCTTTCACAGGCTCATAGTTGGAAGGAGCTTGCCTTCAGTCTCAAATGAGACTTTGTACTTTAAACTTTTGAGTTGGTGCTGGGACAAGTCAAGACTCTAGGGACTACTGGGATGGAATGATTGTATTTTTGTATGTAAGAAAGCCATTGGTTTTTGGAGTCAGAGGCAGAATGCTATGGTTTGGATATGGTTTGTCTCTACCAACATACATGTCGAAATTTGATTCCCGATGTGGTGGTGTTGAGAGGTGGTGCCTAGTGGAAGATATTTGGGTCATGGGGTCATATCCCTCATGAATGGCTTCATGCCATTCTTGTGATAGTGAGTGGGTTCTCACTCTGGCAAGACTGGATTAGTTCTTATAAAAATAGATTAGTTCCTAGGAGAGTGGGTGGCTATAAAGCCAGATGTTCCTCTGGTTTTTGCCTCTCTCTTCACACATATCTGCTTTACTCTGTGACCTTTACCATGTTTTGACCAAGCACATGGCCCTTACCAGAAACTGAGCAGATACTGGCACCATTTTTCTTGTATATCCTGCAGAAATGTGAGCTAAATAAATCTCTTTTATTTAAATTACTCAGCTTCAGATATGCTGTTACAATGACAAAAAACAGATAACATGTATGCATAATGTTACCAAAAGACATATGGTAACATAAAATATGGAAGCAATCAAAAGCCCACTGATGGCGAAATGGATAAATTGTGACATGTTCATAAAATAAGAATAGATGTTCTAATACTACTTACAAACATATTGTTGAACTAATGAAGCAAGCTACAAAAGAGTACCTTCATATGAAGTACAGATCCAGCAAAACTATCCTATACTGTTGGAGGGACGGTGGCTGGAAGGATGCATGAGCATGTTCTTGAATTTCTGTTTATTGATGTCAATGCTGATTGTATACCCAATGTTCAGTTTAAGAAAATCAATCAAGTCTAAATTTTTTGTATATTGAATACCTTTTTGTGTGTACATTATGCTCTGATACAAATTTAAAATATAACTCATAATAATGTGGTAAATACAATAGTATAATGGGATAGTGGAGGTAGGTGGAGGGTTACCCTAGATATGGTGTTCAAGAAGGTTTCTGAGGCTGTATTTGAGAAAAAAAAAGAGACAGGAATAGAAAGATCCAGGTGTAGAGCCTTCCAGGTAGGAAGAATAACACGGGCCAATGTTCTGAAATGGCAATGATGTGTTCAGAAGGCTTGACAGTGATGCAGATCCCGAATGAGTAATGGGTGGAGAAGGCAAGTCTGAAAACATGGGTAGTGACCAGATCAGAAAAGGCCTTTCATGCTGTGGTACAGAAGTTGGAACTTGACTTAATTTGCAAAGAAAAACCATTGAGAGGTTTCAAACAAAGAAAAGACAGATTATAAATAACATTCTGAGAATGCTACTCTAGCTGCTTTATAAAGAATGAACTAAAAACACCTGTTAGGAGGCTTTTCCTGCGTTCTAAAGAGAGACATTTTCAGCACGGGTTAGAGTTTTAGGAGTAGAGGTGACAGGAAGTAGTATCACTGGGATGCACTTGAAGGTGTGAATAACAGGCGATGATTAATAAAGTATGAGGTCTGAAGGAAATAGAATCCAGAAGAGTGCCCAGGTTTTAAGCTTGAGCAACAAAATTGATAGTGGATCTATTTGTTGAAATGGAGTGAAGACATTTCTATACTTTTAATTTATTTTTTATGTTTTTGAGGAATATTGTGCTTTGATTGTATCAAGTTAAGCAAGAGATGATAACAGCATGATGAGTTTTGCCTTTCAGAAAGCAGTAGCATTTATCGAGCCCGAGAAGTTGAGTCTGTAGTGAGCCATGATCGTGCCCTGCACTCCAGCCTGGATGACAGAGTGGGACCTTGTCTCAGAAAAGAAAAAAAAAAGCAAAAAGCAGTAGCATTTAGAAAGCAGTTATTACTATATTTGACTCTCAATGACGGAAGATATCATAAGTCAACACCTAGAAAAGGCTAGCGATAGATACTTTTATTGATTTAAAGTACTTTTTAATGGCTAGTGATGGATACATCTTATGAACTTTCCTTTTGGGTTATGCATCTTGGCATTTCAAAAATAATCTTTGGGTAATGTTTTCAAAACTTTAACATTTTCAAAAAGCTCTGTTTGAAATACCATTTGACCCAGCAATCCCATTACTGGGTATATACCCAAAGGATTATAAATCATGCTGCTATAAAGACACATGCACACATATGTTTATTGGGGCACTATTCACAATAGCAAAGACTTGGAACCAACCCAAATGTCCAACAATGATAGACTGGATTAAGAAAATGTGGCACATATACACCATGGAATACTATGCAGCCATAAAAAATGATGAGTTCATGTCCTTTGTAGGGACATGGATGAAGCTGGAAACCATCATTCTCAGCAAACTATTTCAAGGACAAAAAGCCAAACGCCGCATGTTCTCACTCATAGGTGGGAATTGAACAATGAGAACACATGGACACAGGAAGGGGAACATCACACACCAGGGCCTGTTGTGGGGTCGGGGGGAGAGGGATAGCATTTGGAGATATACCTAATGTTAAATGAAGAGTTACTGGGTGCAGCACACCAACATGGCACATGTATACATATGTAACTAACCTGCACATTGTGCACATGTACCCTAAAACTTAAAGTATAATAATAAAAATAAAGAAAACACAGAAAAAAACCCCAAAAAGCTCTGTTTTACCTCAATCCAATGATTTTATGCATCAATATTCTTTCTTATGAGCACGGTCATCTGCAGGGGAATGTGGGGTGTGTGTATAAGATTAAGAGCTTTATTATGAGTATGTTAAGTTTGAAATGTCTATTGAATATCTAAATAAAAATGTCAAGCAGCTAGATATTTTAGTCTAGATATCATTTTAGGTGGTAGATGTGAAGACAGGTTTCAGAATTATTGATACGCAGATTATGTGTTAACAGAATTAAAGAATAGGACAAGAGAATTTCAATATTTAAATACTAGACCACAAAAAAAGTGACAAGAAAGGGATAAAAAAGATGTGGAGCACCCAGAGGAGTGTGGTGTGGTAGAAACTTAGAAAAGACAGTCTTTTTAATAGAAGGGAGGGGTCTACATGTGAGTTTTTGGGTAAAGTTTAAGTAATGTGAAACAGAAAGTTGATTGCCTGAGAGTGCAAGATAACAGTCGTTCCTATCCTTCACAGAGGGGCTTCGATGGAGTGATTGGACAGAATATCTTGTGAAGTAGACTAAGGAGAAAGGAGGCTCAAAAATTGAAGAAAATCACAAAAGTTTGCTCTGAATAATGGAACAAATATAAAGTTATACATGGATAGTGACATGGGGTTAAGGGAATATTTTTTATATATGTATATGTACATATACATATATGTGTATGTATTTTTATATTTATTATGTATATTACATATAATATATATGTATGTTATATATATTTTTATATATGTATATATATGTGTGTGTGTGTGTGTGTATATATATATGCTGTTGACAAAAGCCAAACTCTCTAAAATATTTGAAGAGGTTTATTTTGAGCCAGATATGAGTGATCATGGCCTGTAACACAGCCTCAAGAAATCCCAAGAATAATCTTACCAAAATTGGTCAGGTGACAGCTTGGTTTTATACATTTTAAGATGACAGAAATTACAGGCAATATACATTTTAAGGAGAAGACAGAAATTAGAGGCAAAGACATAAATCAATGCATGTAAGATGTATGTTGGTTTGGCACGGAAAGGCGGGACTTCTTGAAGTGACAACTTATAGGTCATAGGTGGATTCAAAGATTTTATTATCAGCAGTTCGTTGAAAGAGTCAATCCTTGTCTAAAGACTTAAGAAATCAGTAGAAAGAAATGCTTCAGTTAGGGTAAGATGGTTTTCAAAACCACAGTTCTTGTTATATAGACGAAGCCTCTAAGTAGCAGGCTGCAGAGGGAATAGATTGTAAAATGTGTAAGACTCTTAGTTAAGTATCTTCTGGGTCCATAAAAGACCCAGAAACGGAAGGAGATTCTCTAGAGAATGCAAATTTCCCCCACAGGAAATGGCTTTGCAGGACCATTCTAAAATGTGTCAAAAATATATTTTGGGGTAAAAGATCTTGATTTTCTTCAGGACCTGCTATCTGTCATATGATACTATGCCAGAGTGAGGTTAGAATTTGGTATCTTGTTGCTGCAGAGAGTCTGTTTTGTCAGCCTCAGGACCTCTATTTTAACATTACTGTTGCTCAGTTGTGCCTAAACTCCAAAGAGAGGGGGTAGAAAGAGTCATGTCTGAACTCTCTTCTAGTTGTTTGGTTTCTTTGCGATCTCCTTAACCAGGAGAGTGTCAGTTGGGGTGGGGGCTTAGACTTTTATTTTTGGTTTACATTATTCTCCCTCAGGTCAAGATTTTCCAGAGGCAACATTGATGGCCAAAGTTTTATTTGTCCTCTATTGTTGCCAGAGTGTGTGGCTATGGCTATCTGCCCCAGGTGCATCATGTTCTTTGGTGGGATCCGTATGGCCAAGGGGCTTAGAGCCAAAAGACTTATAGCAAATTTAAATGTTGTAGGGCTGGATGAGAATGGAGATGGGCAGGCATTTATCAGCCGTTAAGATCTTTAAGCAATATAAGAGCCCAAAACCAAAAGATAAGGTTACAAAATTGACTTATCAATACATTCTGTGCATTGAGCAATACAATAATCTTGATTTTTGTTACAGACTTCTAGCAATTAGCTGTAAATAACAAAAGCATTTTGTTGAAACCATTTAAGCTAAAGAACACAGAGGCTTGTTTTGTGCTGCAGTGCTTTTTCGTGGTCTTTTTCATCATTTGTCCTGAGGTGGCTGATTTAAAAAGTTACATATATCTGCATAAATCTCACAGCTAGGAGCAGTATATCCAGGAGGCTTTGTGACGAGGTTTCTTGTTATGCTCTTGGTAATTTTCTTTTAATCCTGGGACAAGCATAAAATTCTTTATAGTTGGGATGGATGGAAAGCAGCCATGTAATAGCCCAGGAGGAAAAGGCCCCTACCTTGCCAGCTGTTTAGGCATCTGGATGTCTGTCCTTGATTTGGAGGCTCTGAAATAATTCTGTCTCTGAAATTAATCCCTTACAAGCTCACCTGCCCACCTCTTCCACAGTAGCCCCTGGGTCTAGAGGGAAGGTGCCTATGTAGCCTTAGTAGCAAGGTGTTAGCAATGAAGACAGATCAGGCCCAGTGAGAGTCTAAGCAGGTTTTACATTTGGCAGATATTAGGTAGAGAGACAAAGGTAATCTATCTGTGTTTTACCAATTTTGTAAGCTACATATAGCTCAAAAGGAAAAGGCATTTCTTTTTTTACTCTGGAAAACAAAATGTAAGGAATCAGCAACATTTTAAAGAAAAAGAGCTTAATTCCTGCCTTGCTCTGACAGAAGACGGAAACTCACAGGTAGCTAGCATTTATTATCTAACATTAAGGCATAGAACAAATTATATTAATTTAGATAGAGAAAAAATTATTAAATGAGTATTCATGCCTTTGTATACAAGCCTGGTTTAGTGTCATACAAAAGCAGTTTTTTTCACTCTCATCTTCTCCCAGCTCTGAAGATGAGGCTTTGGTTAACTTACATTTGATGTCAGATACTGATAGCGACAGGAAGCAGAAAAATTCTGGGCCGAAGAGGGTGGGTGAGGGCCCCACCCTCAAACCTGGAACTGTGGCCCAGAGTGAGAACATACATTCCTGTTTCCCACTCTAATGTTGCCTTTTCTAAAACTACCAATGGCCTGTCCCCACCATCATCCTGTGCCCATAAAATCCCAGGCTCAGCTGGCAAAGAAGAGAAGCAGCAGGACATCAGTGACTATGCCTGGATGTTGGAGCAAATTGGCTTCATTTCAGAGAGACAGCTTGATGGTATAGCTTCAGAGCTTTAGGGGAAGCTTACCTTCCCAATCCATTCCCTTTTCTGCTCCCCTTCCCACTGAGACCCACTTTCATCAGCAATGAAATCCCCGCATTTACCATCTCCAATTTGTTCCTGCAACCTCATTCCTCTTGGATGTCAGACAAGAACTTGGGTGCAGGTGCAAAAGGCTGTCACATTTACCCTCCACTAAGCTGTTAACACTTAAGCCATCTGTGGATGTCAAAGCTAAAAGGGCACTGACTGTAACACTCCTTCTGGGGCTTTGGGGGTCACAGGCACTCCCCTAGACGCTGCCATGGGGCCAGAATGAAGTTCGTTCCTGCCGGCACCCAAAAGTGCTAGCCCCAGCTCCTGCACCTGCTCAGCTGCATGCTTCCTCCCGTGATGGGTTGATCACAGCAGGTTTGAGTGAACAGAGTTTGCACCTGCTGGCACCGTGCACTCCAGTTCCTGCCCACAAAGGACTCAGGGAAAATTTCTCGCTTCAATGTCAGCATTGACATTTAAGATTCAGTAGGAGTCAGTGCTCCTTTTTAAATGAGATATGTGTACCCAGAAGTCAAATACCTGAAACTTAAGAGCAAAAAGGTTAGTAACAATATTTGATAAAGACCCTTTTCAATGAGGCTGGAGGGAGTTTTTTAGGTGAGATCTAATCATCAGGCTGGAGGTGGTGATAGTGGAGTTTATGACTTAATTGAAAACTGTAAAAAGATGGTATAGCACTGGGTAATTAATTTGTATAGTTTTGATGAACCCCCGGCAATAAGTCTAAGTCAGAGACTTAACTTAGAATTTGATTTTTGAGGATGTTTGTCAAAAGATATTGAAAGGCTCAAAACATTTGATTAAAATGAATCAAAAGTCATTGTAAAATAATAGTTATTCATTTAACCAGAATGGTAATCAAAAGACTTCAAAAGCAATATAGAAAGTTACATGAATATAAAACCCTACCTGGTTTTAAACCTATACTTTTAGGTTTTAAAATGGTTAAGGGTTTTATAACAACACAGTAATTATCTTAAAATCTGTATTTCCTAGGCTAGCTGTCAAAAAGTAAAGAAAAACCTTATGCAGAGTGATTGTTTTGAGTCATTGGAAGCCCATTTGGATAACCTGAAAGTCAAGCCTCATGAAAAGATAATGTGAATTAATCAGACACAGGAAGAGTGTGTTCCATGTCATGAGTGAACACTGTTATAGAGACCTTGAGCAGGGGAATATGTGACTCTTAGCAACAGCATGGGATGTTGCCTGGGTATACTGAGCACTTTTAAACCTATGTTAGAGCTCAGAAAACAATATCCCAAAATGAAGGATTTAGAGGCAGCTGCAGAAGTAAAAGTTTTTCTTTGGCCTTCTTCTGGCTTCCTGTTTGCAAGTCCCATGCTCCCTCAAGGCGGGTCATAGCAACTAGAATCTCGCTTTCCCAAGATGAGTCCTCAAAACTGAAACTCCTTTTTCTCAAAGCCAGCCATAAAACCTAAAAATATTACTCCAATATTTTCTCTGCCTTTCTGTGAAAGAACATAAGGATATTATCTGATCTTCCTTTTGAACTGTAGAGTGCAAGACCCCCACACAGAGAAGGAAGAAAATGAATGTTCAAGGAGGTTAAGAAGAATCTACACAGGCAGGTCTTGCTGGGGTTTCCCCACACAGTCCACTAACATTGAATTATACCCTTTTCCATCATATTTTTAGATGGATGTCCCTAATTTTTTGAACCTAAGCATAAAAATGCACAATTTCCCCCATTTATTGGATCTTTGTTCTGAGCACACCCATGTATACATGCCCAAAAAACTGCATATCTGCTTCTCAATGAATCTGTCTTTTTTGAGTTGATTTTTCAGTGAACCTTCAAAGGGACCCTGGCCCCTACACATTTTAAGAAAAGTCAAGAGTAACAAATTAAGTTACAACAGAGGAAGACATCACTTTTTTAAATCTTCAAAAGAAAACATTTTAGTATCAGGCTATAACACAGTTAGAATTGAAGAAAAAAATAGTTATAGGAGACAACAAAAGTTAAAAGAGGGAGTTACCATTCCAGGCCTTCTCAAAGGGAGAAAAGCTGAAAACAGTGGGGTATATCAGGAGTTAAGCTTCTGAAATATCAATCTGAGAGATTTCTTTCTTTTTTTTTTTTTTTTTTTTGAGATGGAGTCTCGGTCTGTCACCCAGGCTGCAGTGCAGTGGCGCAATCTCAGCTCACTCCAACCTCCACCTCCTGGGTTCACGCCATTCTCCTGCCCCAGCCTCCCAAGTAGCTGGGACTACAAGTACCCGCCACCACACCCAGCTAATTTTTTGTATTTTTAGTAGAGACAGGGTTTCGCCGTGCTAGCCAGGATGGTCTCAATCTCCTGACCTCATGATCCACCCACCTCGGCCTTCCAAAACACTGGGATTACAGGCGTGAGCCACCATGCCTGGCCTCAGAGAAATTTCAAAAAGAGATTATAGAATTAAAAATGTAAAGCTTTTTGTAATTTCATCAAAAGTAAATCAATACTTTAAGAAAATATATTTGTTCTAACCAATTCGTCAGTTTTATATTCATGTATTTTATGAACTTTTATTTTAGGTTCAGGGGGGTACTTGGGTAGGTGTCATATAGGTAAATTGCATGTAACAAGGGATTGGTGTACAGATTATTTCATCACCCAAGTAATAAGCATAGTACCCAATAGGTGGTTTTTCTATTTGTGTATTTTTAATATTAAATCCCAATCTCTAAAAACACTAATACGAATAATTCTTTTTAAATTATCACCAGCTTAATCACATACAAAATTGTTTTGCAGTGAGCAGGTCTATACAAACCTATCCAAAGTTGGAGGAAGCTGAGATGCTGAAGAAAGAGGCTGATAAATACAGTTTCTTAGGCAGAAACAATTAATAGGGACTTATGAACAGAAGCCATGTCTGTGTCTCAGGCAGCAGTGAGATAAGATGGTAAATTCCTGTGCCATTAACCCCAGAACCCAGGGCTTATATGCCATAGAGAAGGAATGATTCAGAAGGCATATGTGGGACAACTGAAGTATGATAATGTAAAAGTTGTTTGTCCTAAGGGCAGGATTTATAATAAGTACCTGTTCTTACACAAGGAGCAATAAATAAACTGGAAATCTTAAAGGTCTTCCCACCTGGAGTTAATCAGAAGCCAACAGGGCAGATCACCATTCAAGATGGAGTTACTTGAGCCTCCCATCTAAGAAAGAGTAGCTTTAGCCTCCAAAACATTTCTTTCATAAATTCTCTTTATAAACTTTATCATATCTTACACAGACTATTTATGACATACTTGGACTTTCTGTTTTGTCCAAAATTTCCCTCTTTCTTAAATAACGAGTTTTTTTTTTTTTTAGGACTAAATTTACTATACAAGACTCTTTCTCATACAAAATTATTCTTTTTACCCAATTTTTAAAATAAATACATCTTTGGATTTGTATAATAGCCTTTGAATTTGACAAAGATTATTTTCCTTTTAATAAGAACATATTTTTATGTCTTTATTATAATTTCTTTTTCATAAAAAAACTTACTTTGGCACTCTTTGAATACAGAATTATATATTAACAAGAATTTTTATTCTTAGTAACCTTAATTTTTTGTGAAAACCTAGGAAGTAGTAAATCTTGAATTGTCTGTCATATATCAGTATTTTATAGATGAGAACCGTTTTATATTATTTTAGAAATATGTTTTTCTGTTTTTTAAATTAGAAGTGATCCAGACACTAAATGAGTATTATTTAATTTAACTTTAAGATTTTAAATTATATGACAAGTTCATTTATAAGCACTTATCCCATTAAAGTTAACTAACTTATTTTTTAAAATAGTTTTCCTAGGTTACTTATAAAAACTGACATATTAGACAAAGCTAGTCATCATTAGTTATTTTCAGCTAACCATTCTTATAGGCTGTGTTTATTTCAGGTGTTTACCTACATAAGAACCTAAATGTTAAATATATGTTTATTTGATTTTTTTTTTTGCCAGCTAAGGTTTTACCTATTTTCAATAAATCAACAATATTAAATGTCTTATTTATAAAAAATTATGCAAAGATCATTAAGGGATGGGTTTTATAGTTTTATAACCTTCATGACAAAGTTTGGTACTTTATAATATCAACACAGCTAAATACAAAACTATTTTACCAATAAATCCAGACAAAAATGTACGCTGACAATTCTGAAGGCATTTCAAATTTTATTTTACTAATAATTATAAAACCAGATTACTTATTGAAGATTTACTTGTCATGTGAACTTGAAGAGCATTTGGACTTTATTAGTTTATGAGTAATCCTTTATTTTTAAGCCCATTTGATACCTTGCAGTTACAACATATAAGAAAATACATGTACATGTAACATAAACACAACTCAACATAGATACACGGATACAAAGATCCCATAGATTTTATTTCAGAATTCTAGTCACAAGACAGCAATACAGATTCACCAGCTTGCAAAAGATGGTTTAATTTAAACAATGGGTTTTATCTCAATACCAGTAGAAAAGCAACAATACATTTAAAACAGAAAAAGAAAAGAGAGAAATCAAGAACTAAGCAGATGCCATATTTAATTCTATAGTTGCAGGTCAACTTTGAGCTCTGAATTTACCCATCAGTTTACAAATGTGCCAGAACAGACTATAATACATAACCAGCCAGAGTACTAGAAAACCAAGCATGCTCTCAAAACTTCACATTTACACAAACAATTGCGAGTGCCATAAAACCCCCAGGGGTGCCCCAAAGGAGGTCATCTCCTTGTCTTTTCTCAATCTTAGAGGATTTGCTTCCCAGGTTTTCTTTTTTTTAATGGAGGAGCCAGACTGTAGTGTGGGTTTCAGTGCAGTGGGGCTCAGAAGCTGTCTCTCATTCATTTACACAAAGTCAGGTTTTTCAAGCAAATGCACAGATGAACCAATTGAGACTAATTTTTGGAGAAAAAAGCAATGAGAAGACTCTAGAATGAACCTGTGAATCCAAAATTAGAATCTGAAACAACAAGTTCCCAGGAAAAGACCAGCTCAGAATAAACCAAAGTACTATTAACCACGTAAGGGTTCTGTGGCTCAGGAAGACTTACTTACCAGTTCCACCTATGGAGAAGCTCAAAGTCAGGAGGCTTTCAATGAGCCTGCAGCAGGAGAATATGATCTGGAGACCTGGAGACAGGGAACTTAAGGCCAATTTATGCTAACTTCCTAAAAGAGAAAACACCAAGGTCTGGAAGCAGGACCTGGACAACTTGTAGTCAAGACCCTCCACTGGTAACAAGCCCATATTGGTACCTTATTTCCAAGTTCACACAACTTCTTTTGGGGAGGAGAGTCCTTAGTCTTCTCTGAGGTCCTGCATTGGGCACCAAATAATGTTGATGAAGAAAAGTGAAACTCTAAAATATTTGAAGAGGTTTATTCTGAGCCATGAGTGACCATGGCCCAGGACACAACCCCAGATGTTCCTGAGAATATGTGCCCATTGTGGTTGGGTTATAGCTTGGTTTGATACATTTTAGGGAGACAAAGTTATAATCAAAGAGATAAATCAATACATGAAGGGTATATATTGGTTCCAGAAAATTTAGACATGTTAAAGTCAAGGCTCCCAGGTCAGAAATAGATTCACCAATTTTCTGATTGGCAATTGGTTGAGTTAAGCTTTGTCTAAAGACTTAAAACGTCAGTAGAAAGGAATGCATAAGATTACATAGTTGTGGAAGCCAAGGTTTTTGTTATAGAAAGAAACGCTTGAGTTAAGATAATGGGGTTGCGGAAGCCAACGTTCTTGTCATGTAGAGGAAGCTTCCATGTATCAGGCTTTAGAAACAATAGTTGGCAAATGTCTCTCTTTCACCTTAAAAGGTGTCAGGTTCTTAGTTACTCTCTCCTGGATCTGGAAAAGGCTTAGCGGCATTAATAAAGTTTCTCTACAGATGCAAAATTTCCCCCACAAAAGATAGCTTTGCAGGGCCATTTCAAAATTTGTCGAATAAATATATTTCAGGGTAAAGTATTTTTATTTACTTCATGGTTTGCTATCTGTCATGTGGTGCTATATGAGAGTCAGGTTGAAATTTAGTATCTTATTACCACCTATAATCTGTTTTGTCAGTCTCATGATCTCTGTTTTAATGTTAATGCTGGTCAGTCATTTAGCACTCAATGGAAATGCTAGAGACCACAAGTATTTAGCTTAACTCTTTCAACAAATTGCCAGTCAAAAAACTTTTTAATCCACCTATGAAAGCTTCTCAGTAGCAGGCTTCAGAGAGGATAGATGGTAAAAGGTGTCAGACTCTTAGTTAAATGTTTTCTGGATCCTTATGAGACATAGAAAGGGAAGCAGATTCTATACAGAATTCAGATTTCCCCCAGAAGAGTTGGCTTTGCAGGGCCATTCCAAAACATGTCAAAGAAATACATTCTGCGGTAAAATACTTTTATTTCCTTCAGGGCCTGTTATCTGTCATGTGATTCTATATCAGAGTCAGGTTGGAATTTGCTATTGTTGCCACAGTCTGTTTTGTCCGTCTTATAATCACTGTGTTAATGTTAATGCTGGTCAGTTGTACCTAAACTCCAAACAAACGGAGTACAAGGAGTCATGTCTGACCTCCCTTCCTGTCATGGCCTGAACTAGTTTTTCAGATTTCTTTGAGATCTCCCTGGGCAAGAGAGTTCCCATTCAGTCAACTACAGGGCTTGGGATTTATTTTATTATTATTATTATTACTATTTTCTGAGGTTGCAACACAGAGCCCAAGTAGGAGGTCTAATTTTGGATAGAGGCAGAAACACTGTCTCATGGAATGCAAGAGTAAATACAATAAAATCAGAGAGATGGAAAATAGAGTACACTCAAGTATGTTGCTTATTTTCAGTCTTCTGATGCCTAATCCCTCATTGTTTTGTAGTCACATGGTTATTTCTTGGTTCTTTTATAACATTTTTCACAACTGGATTGCTATGATTGTGCAGACACTGTCTACTAGAGTCAAATTTTGTTTTGAAATAGTTCATTATTTTATTTAACTGCGTAAACTAGTTTAGTCTATGATGAATTAATAGACAGATGTGAAAAATTTTAAACTCCTCTGTCAGGGCTCAGAACAAGATCCTTCCAAATATGGCTTCTTGATGAAATCTAAAAGTAAAACCCTAAGCCCCCCAATCAACTGAATGGATTCCCCTTCTTGGCCAGTGGAGCTGAGAGCAATCTGAAAAAGTAAATTTCAGGCCATGAGGGAAGGGGGATTGGGCACACCTTGTTGCACTCCCTCCATTGTGGAATTAACATTAAAATAGAGATCACAGGACTGACAAAACAATAAGATACCAAATTCCAACCTGACTCCCATATAGCATCACATGACAGATAGTAGACACTGAAAGAAATAAAAATATTTTACCACAAAATATATTTATATGACAGATTTCGAAATGGCCCTGCAAAGCTATCTTTTGTGGGGGAAATTTTGCATCTGCCATTAGTGCAGCTAGGCCTTTTCCAGATCCAGGAAAGATAGACTGTGAGGCTCACACCTTTTAAGGTCCAAAAAGAGACATTTACCATCTATTCTTTCTGAAGCCAGCTACATGGAGGCTTCATATATGTAACAAGAATCTTAGCTTCCACAAACTCCCTTACCTTAACTCAAACATTTTTTTCTACTGACTTCAAGTCTTTAGTTTAACTCTTTCAACCAATTGCCAATCAGAAAAATCTTTGCATCCACCTATGACTCATAAGCCTTCCACTTCATGTCCTGCTTTTTCAGGCTGAAACAATGTATATTTTACATGTATTGATTTATGACTTTGCCTGCAAGTTCTTTCCCTAAGTTTTAGGGAGACAGAAGTTACCCTGGGCACACTTTCTCAGGATCTTCTGAGGCTTTTCCCCGGCCATCGTCACTCATATTGGCTCAGAATAAACCTCTTTAAATATTTTACAGTGTTCAGCTTTTTCATCAAATGCAAACTTGACATACTAAATAAGCTGAAGAAAACTGAGAAAACCGAAGAGGTAGAAAAGTCACTTTCTGATTTTTTCTGCCCTTCTCCCCTGAGAGCTGTCCACAAAAGAATTCTCAGACCTACCTGTTCTGAGAGAAGGTAATAAGCCCTTTATTCCAGAGGGGCCCTGACCAATGCCCAGAGGGAAAAAAATGTCACATGGGGAGGCCACTAAGAATCTGAACAAACCTCGCTAAGTCCTCCTCCTAAGTTTATTTCCATTATATCATATTTTTAAATGTTCTAATCATACTTTTAAGGCTCGCATGCCTCATGAAACTTCTACTAAGTAAATTTGCTATACTTTTCTGTTGCTAATCTGTCTTTTGTTAGAAGTTACCAACCACGAACCTTTTGATGAGCAAGGAAAAAATGTCTTACTTCCCCCCCACCCCCGCCCCCTGTACCACTAATTATAAACTTTGCAAAGTTTTGATACTATCATCTTATGGTGTGACCCATCTCATTCACAGGGAAGTCACAACACAGCTCATGTGGTCCATGCAGTCCATTTATACGGGATTTTGCTAAAGTTTCTATACTCCTAGATTCTTAGGCTTAGCATCACTAAGAGGGATAGAATGTGTGTCTGAACTGTATCCGTTCATTATATCAGGGACAGAATGTGTGTCTGAACTGTATGCATTCATTATATCAGGGATAGAATGTGTGTCTGAACTGTATGCATTCATTATAACAGGGATAGAATGTGTCTCTGAACTGTATCAGTTCATTATATCAGGGATAGAATGTGTGTCGGAACTGTATCCGTTCATTATATCACGGATATGAGGTGTGTCTGAACTGTATGCATTCATTATATCAGGGATAGAATGTGTCTCTGAACTGTATCAGTTCATTATATCAGGGATTCAATGTGTGTCTGTGAACTGTATCCGTTTATTATATCAGGGATATGAGTTGTGTCTGAACTGTATCAGTTCATTATATCAGGGATACAATGTGTGTCTGTGAACTGTATCAGTTCATTATATCAGGGATATGAGGTGTGTCTGAACTGTATCAGTTCATTATATCAGGGATACAATGTGTGTCTGAACTGTATCAATACACATAACCTACTTCTGAAACACAGTAAGGACAGGGCTTGGCCCCCACTCCTACTATCACATTTTTTTTCCCGTACCTGCCAACTTCCAGACCTTGCACCACCACCTCCACTGGCACGATACCCACTGCATGGATAACTTGAAGAAACTAAGATAAGCAGCATTCCACCATAAATCTTATTCAAGGGAGTTAACCTTATCACTCACATGTGCATAAGACCAGAAGAATGACTGATCTTTACCCCTTGCTTCATTATAATACTAAAATCTCCACCCAGGGAAGGGCTTACCCACCATTTTTTGATCATGCAATGTATGTGTTCACATAATTTCTCACTGTGCCTGCATATCCTGTGCTCCACTCCACATGTATAAAGAGCCTCCCATACCTCATGATTATCCATGTCACTCATCTTAAAACACAGCAAAGGCCTAGCCATGGGGAACCAGCCAGAGAACTGTCATTCCAGTGCTGTCTCCCTTGTGTTCGAGCACAAGCCCTTAATAAAGCCTTGTCTGGAAAACTTGCTTGGTCTCATGTCCATTTCTATTGCACAGGAGCCCAAGAACCTGTGGTTAGTAATACTTTCACATTTTGGCCTGAATGAATCAGGTACTGTCTGTTTAGCTGATAGGTGACTAGTTTCCTTTATTATTTTCATAGTTTTACATCTTATGTATCAATATGGTTTGGCTCTGTGTCCCCACCTAAATCTCATGTTGAATTGTAATTCCCAGTGTTCAGGGAGGTAGCTGGTAGGAGGTGATTGGATCCTGGGGTGGATTTCCCCCTTGCTGTACTCATGATTCTGAGTGAGTTCTCCTGAGATCTAGTTGCTTGAAAGTGTGAAGCACTTCCCCTTTCACTCTCTCTCTCCTGCTCAGCCTTGTAAAGATTGTACCTGCTTCCCCTCCACCTTCCCCCATGATTGTGTGTTTCCCGGGGCCTCCCCAGCCATGCTTTCTGTAAAGCCTAAGCAACTGTGAGTCAATTAAACCTCTTTTCTCCATAAATTACCCAGTCCCAGGTATGTCTTTATGGCAGCATGAGGACGGACTAATACGGTATCTATCTGTAAACAACAGAGTTTACTCTTGCCTAATTTTGAACTTTAAAAATGAAGTTACTTTGAATATATTATTTTGACTTTTTTGCTAAATATAATTTTTGTGATATTCAGCTCATTATCTTGTATAGTTTGCTCATTTTCCTTAGCATATGCAATGTCATTGAATATCTTAATTGATATATTTATTCTATAGTTATTTGGTATGTATGTTATTTTCAGCTTGGGGCTATTATGAATGTTTTTGCTATTGACATTTATGTCCTTATGTTTTCATATATAAATGCAAAAAACATAGTGCATATACCTATGGGTAGAATTGATGGGTATATATTTTTCTGACTTATAATGAGGTTGAGTAACTTTTCTTTGATTTATCAGCCATTTAGAGTTTCTCTTTTGTAAAGTACCTATTCAAGTATTTTTCCCATTTGCTATCAAATTTTGGCCTTTTGTTATAGACACATAAGAATTTTTTTATACATGTGCTGGATATTTTGTTTTCAGTTTTGTTACACATCTGCTAGTTTGTGACCTATCCAAGTGTTTAAATTTTATTTATTTGTAAATTGAATTACCAACATTTTACTTTATATTAGTTCTTTTTGTGTCTTAACTAATCTGTTCACAAGCTGAAGTCAAGAAAATATTATCCTATCTTATCTTCTAAAAGCTCATAGTTTTTTTTTTTGTTTGTTTCTTCACCTTTTAGTTTTTAACCCGCCTAAAACATATCTGTGGTATGTGACTTTAGGCAAATTTTCCATTCCCCATATGAACAAACAATTTTCCCAATACAACTTGATAAATTTATTTTTCCCAGATCTGCAGTGACATCTCTGTCTCCTTTATAGTCACATTCCACAAAAGCTTTGCCTGCTCTTGGTCTCCCTAATTCCTCCACTGTCCTCTCTATTCAGGATATTTACCTCTCATTTCAATGATCTTTATGTGGATAAATCAAATCTTTCAGGGCCATCAGCACAGTTTTTGTTTGTCTGTTTTTTTCCTTGTTTTGATATAACTGTCTATTCCCTCGATTGAAGATGTGTGTTTTGTTTTGTTTTGTTGCATTTTCATCTGTCTTCAAGTACACCATACTGATGGCTTTTCCTAACTCATTGTTTTGTTTTTCCTTTTAATTTTTTTTCTCCTTGTGTCATTTCTCCAGGCCCACTTCTTAATACTGGAGGGCTCCTAGCTCAGTTATGGGTCCTCTTCTTTTTTTTCCTGTACCTTTTCTCTGTTAAGCTCATTGGGGTTCTTAGCTATAAACATGTATCTATATAATAATATCTATGTATTAATGACTGCAGTTCAAAGCAAACTTGGCATTCACCAAACTGATCTGTGCCTCTGTCTTCCCACCCTAAACTTCCTGCAACTGCGTCTTTCCTTAGGCCCACTGGTAGGAGGTCCATAATTTCAGTTGCTCAATCCAAGCCCTTAGAGTTGCCCCTGGTGCTTCTCTTTCCCTTGAAACTGACATCCAACTAGTAAAGGAATCCTGTTGGCTCTACCTTCAGAAGACACCTAGGTTCCAACCATTTCTACAATATGTTCCTGCTTTACCTAAATCCTCTAAGGGTTATTTCTAAAGCAGCAGTTGAAGAAACGTCAGATCATGCCACTTTGGTGATTAAAACCCCACTGCAGCTCACCGTTTATTGGGAGTAAAATCTAAAATTCTTACAGGAAGCTCTACAGGGCCCTTTTACATGCTCCTCTGCCCCATTGCCTCTTAGATGTCTGCTTGTGCCACTGTTTCCCTCACTGCTCTAGCCATCCTGGCCTTCTTGTCATTCTTTGAATAAGCCATGTACACTCTCACCTCAGGCCTGTCCTACCAGTTTTGTTTTGTTTTTTTTTCTCCACTTGGGATCCCTCCCACCCCAACACTCTCTTCAGGGCTAAATTCTTTATGTCCTCAAGACTGCATGAATGTTATCCTTCCAAAGAGATCTGTACTATCGATGACATTGTAAAAAGCAACAAACATTACCACAGCTTCAGCAATTCTTTCTCTCTCTTAATCTACTTTTTCCCTTTCTCTATACCATTTGACATTGACAGACTATATAGTTAACTTCTTTCTTCTGTTTGTTATTGTTCACTGCCTCTGGGCTACATGGGCAGCTTCATGAGGACAGGCACCTATTTTGCAAACAAATATATCCCAAGGGTCTTAATAGTTCAACAGATGGCTGTACATAGTATAAATTCGACAAACATTTGTCAGATGAAATAAGGTTTCATAAAATTTCTGTAGATACATGGACCTATTTCTGAACTCTTTATTCTTTTTTTTTTTTTTTTTGGTTTATTTGTCTTGTGATGTGTGAGTTGTATACTGTTTAACAGTTTAACTTTGAAAGTAAATCTGAATTTCTGGTATGACAATTTATCTGCATTGTTCTTATTTAACATTATCTTGGCTGCTATTCTTGGCTCTTTGATCATCATTTTAAGAATCAGCTTGCCAGATTGTATTCATATCCTCCGGCTATCTATCTAGCTATCTGTCTATCTTGGGAGAGAGAGAACATTGAATCTATATCTCTAACTGTAGTTCTGGCTCTAAGTATCTATCTTCATTAATCTCTGAATCTATTTCTATTTCTTCAGTATCTCAAACAATCAGTTCCTTTTTAAACTCCCTTTATTATTATGTTAAAGTATTTCAAGGTAAATAGCCAGTGTTTTGTCATTCTAGCCCCAACCATATTCCTATGCATCCATGAAAAGGGAGAACAGTGCACCAGTCTGCTCACACTGAGTCCTTCATAGGACTTACCTACAACACCCCAAAATCTCAGTGACTTACACAACAAATGTGTATGTCTCAACTTATAGAAGATACCATTCAAAAGAATTTCAAAATTATTTTTGAAATTCAAAAGAATTAAAATCACGAACTCAGAAAATTGTACAACAGAGTTCATAGCTCCATTATTTACGATAGCCAAAAGGTTGTGTCCATCAATAGACAAATAAATGAGCAAAATGTGATATATACAAACAATGTGATACTATTCTGCCTTCAAAAGGAATGAAACTCTGATATTTTCTGCCACATGGATGAACCCTGAAAATGAAGTGAAGTAAGTATAAAGGCAAATATTGTATGATTCTACTCATTTGAGGTACCCTGTTGGAGGCCGAAAGAGTGAGGGTCGTGATCAACTGAGTACCCCACTGGAGGCTGGGTGAGTAAGCAGCAAAACTGCTTCTCATAAATGCAGAATGTTGGCAAACTGACAAACTGCGTTTGCCACACAGAGGTTATGCTGAGGGCGGTCACGCCCCAGGCACAAGTGTTTCTTGTTATTAGGTACGTCTGAAAGTCTGATAGCAATGATGTGAACCTGTAATCAATCAAGTAGCTGACCAATTGTGACATCCTCCTCCCTGCTCTTTCTACCCAATAAATACGGAGGGCTGAGAAGCTCGGGCGGCTGCCTTTACTGACTAGCAGCTGGGATCTCTCTTCTTCCCCTAAGCGAGCCTTTCCTTAAAACCATTTTCTTCTGTCTTTTGTTACTATTTCTACGTTCATTTCTTCATTCAGTCCTGTAATGATGGTCTCAAGTAGTAATTGTACAAGTCTGTCACAAGTGGTGCCTGAACAGGGGCATCTAGGGACAAGTATAGACCTGAAGAGGCCTGGAGGGATAAATAGATTAGCAGGGATAGAGAGAAAGAGTATAGGTAGGGAAAGACAGGAACTTGCAGGAACTAACAGGGACCATGGGGACAGATAGGGATAGATAAAGACTAGCAGAGACCAGCAGAAACTTGCAGGGACAGACAGGGTCCTATAGAGACTTGAACGAGGAAGGTCTGCTGGAACAGAAACTAAAACTAGCCAGACAAACGAGAAGCCCCATTACAAGTCTGCCAGCAGCAACATAAGGCTAGTGCTCTAAAAAGGTACTTGTCAGTGCCCCAGAGGTTTGAAGAACGGGAAGTTTTTGAATCAGGGTAGCATGGGGAAGAATTTGGTTATTTTTTTCTTTCATTTGGAGTTTGGTACATACCTTTTCTGTTATTTCAGGGCCGGAGAGACTATTTTGCCCCACTTAGAGCACCTATCAAAAGTGGTAAACGAGGGAGAATGAAAACTGGCTGGCAGCATCTTTTGTGGCTACAGAAATGCTCACTTTGACTATGGCTTATGAGGCTACAAATGTGGATTGGGAACGTGCAGTGGCACCTGTGAGGTGTGCAGAAAGTTCAGGAGGTTTTCTTAGTTTTTCAAGATGTGGGAACTGAGCTTCACTACTTTATAATGTTGATTCAGGCAACGGATAATTTTGGTAGTTGACGGATCTAAAAGGAGCCAAGGGTTGAGCCCTAGAGTGGAAAAGCTGTAAGTGTAGAGAATCGGACGTTGCAAAAGAGAATGCCGTCAGACCTCTGGGCAGAAGGGGTCTTTAAAACAGTTCTCTTCTCAACAGAAAAAGTGCCAGGACTTTGCCCTCGTTGAAATAAGGGAAATCACTAGGCTAATCAATGCTACTCTATATTTGACCAGAACGGCACTCCCTGTGGGGAAACCAGAAGCGGGCCTGGACCTGGGCACCTCGAACAAGGGGGCTTCCCCAGTCCAGGCCGCAACTCCGTTTCAGGGGGGTTTCTGGAGGTGCTTTGACTCCCCCTCCTCAAGCACCAGGAAGCCCAGGATTAGATCTCCCAAATGAACGGGTTTAGGGGAAAGCAACCGGCCTTGGAGGGGGAAAGCAACCGGCCTTGGCGGGGAAAGCAACCGGCCTTGGGGGGGAAAGCAACCTGACTCACACTGGCGTTTGGGACCTTTGCCAACAGGATAGGTGGGATTAATTTTAGGCAGAAGTCATCTTAACTTGCGGGGCATTACTGAAGTCCCAGGAGTTCTTCGGCTTATGGAGAAATTCAGGTAGCGGTCATGTCCCAAGATCTCTGGGTTTTGAAGCAGGAGAATATATTGCGCAGCTGTTGCTCATCCCCTGTAAATTGTACCCTTCTCTACGTAAGAAGCGAGGAGGTCAGGCATCTGCAAGTACAGCTGGGAGAAAGCTATCACAACCCACAGCATCTAACAGACCCGCCTGTGTAAGTGCAAATGGAAGGTTTAAGGATTGCTTTTTTGCTACACTGTTGCACGAGAAGGATAAGCCTCAACTTGTTTTCTCTGTGCCTTCTGTTCATCAGAAAAAGCTGCTTTCACTATCAACGGAAAGTTTTACCCCGCAGCAATTAGGCCAAGAGGCAGAAGCTGCGCCGCAGCTTGTGGAGCGGAGGCCTCGGCAATGGCCTGGCTCCCGGCTGCAGCCCCAGAAAGCTTTTTGCTTTTGTAGAGTTACTAACGTGGGGACAGGACATGCCTGTGTCTTTACAGGAGATGAACCGTGTGGGTGCCCTCGGGACCGAGGGCCGACCGCAGTCCCGCTGACCTCAACCCCCATAATACAGGGACAGACATAATTTAAAAAAGGGTTGGAGGCCGAAAGGGCGAGGGTCGCGATCGGCTCGGTTTACCACTGGAGGCCGGACGAGTAAGCAGCAAAACTGCTTCTCACAAATGCAGAATGTTGGCAAACTGAGAGACTGCGTTTCCGCGCGGAGGTGGAGCGGAGGGCGTCACGCGCAGGCACGAGTGTGTCATTAGGTGCGTGGGAAAGTCCGATCGCAACCATGTGCACCTGCGATCAGTCACGCAGCTGATCAATCGTGCGTCCTCCTCCCTGCTCCTACTCGATCCATGCGGAGTGCTGAGAAGCTGGGGCGGCTGCCCTTGCTCACTAGAAGCTGGGAGCTCTTCTTCCCCGAGCTTAGCCTTCGAACAGTGTTTTTCCCCCACTTCTACCTCCCTTCGCTCAGTCCTGTAATGAGCATCTCAAGCAGTAACAGTAACTGCGGTAGTGACCGTCTCAAGTAGCAATTGTACAGGTTTGCTACAGTACCTAGAAGAGGAAAATCCACAGAAACAGAATACACCTTACCCCAGAGATGAGGAAAAGGAGAAAATACAGTTAATGTTTAATGGGTACAGAAGATTTGTTTGGGATGAGGAAAAAGTCCTGGAGATGGATGGTGGTGATGGTTGTATCAACCTAAAGGAAAAAACTGAGGCAAAGTTAACACGCATATTTGGACCAAGATTGGGAAATGCAATCTGAGGAGACAGATTCTAGTAGCCTTAAATAAATGCTCCAACTAACAGCAGTTATAATGGGGCCTCTAAGGGAAAAGGGAAGTTCTAAGCTGACATAAACTATTGATCAACTAGACATTGTTCTTTTGTAGCTATTGATAAGCTATACACTATTCTCTGTAGGGAACATGAAGATGGTTGGTAAAGGTCATATTGTACAACTTGTAACATTTTAGGTAACTTATCAGCTAGTCTGGAAACTTCGGGGGAGCGGGGGGAAGTATAAAATTCCTTTAAACAACCCCAGGTGCGCATGTGTGAGCAGGGCTGGGTAGGGAAGTTATTGAATTCTCATGCTCGCGTCTCTGAGCCTAAGACGTTTTGTAAAGCTCACATTCTTCAGACTGCTCTGAATCATTTTTCTCAGTTTCAAATATTTTCTAAGGTCAGCTTTTGGGGAAGCTAAGGCAGGTCATATATGAAAGTAATTTAACAGTGGCTTTCTCAGATTGGACCTCAATCCTAAACAAAGGGGAAAGACCCAAAGAATTTTCTAAACTACCAAAAAACTTAAAAAATTTCAACCAACCATACTAGGATTGAATCATCTCTTCTTGCTTATAGAAAATATTAGAGTACATAGTAATGTAGCCAGTTGTTGGAAAAAATGGTAAAAGTGGTAAGTTCAACCAGTTAAGATTTAAGTTGAGGTGTTTATGTATTTCTTCGTGGTATTTTGTCAGCTTTCTAAAGGTGTAATTTTGTTGGAGTTTCACTGAAGAGAATATTATACCTGTGCAATCATGATTTGTAGCCTGTTTTCTTAAGATGCCCCAGATTGCATAAGCTTCAGCCTCAGAAAACCTGAATTCCAACCCCCACTAACTTAAACACCAGTGAGGTAAATATGAATTACATGAAAGCCAAGATCATGCAGGCATAGATTGCAGCACAACAAGACTGCAGGGTCTAAAATTCCCCCCCACCCTTCCCGCTCCCCCCAGGAATCGTTGTGGGCCCTTTTGAGAATACTGGATGAGAAAAGGTCTGTCTTCTTGAAGTAACTCAAAGATCTTATATACACTGAGATTAGTAAAATGAATATTTTTAAATGCTTGCAATGCTGAAAGTTTTATGTATTACAAGTTACAAGAAAGACAGGATGATTACATACTAATACTTGAGTGATGGGGAATGGCCCAAAATGTATCTTTTGCAAGACAATACTTCCTTAGAAACATTGATTTCTATTTCAAGAGAGATGCCTGAAAGTTGGAAGTGTAAAAAGAGAAACTTTCAAAACAATGTCGTGAACAAAGTAAAAGAGAAAAAAGCAATTTAAGTTGCAGCTGCCAGCAACCTGACTTATCTTGGGTGTTTACTTTGTAAATTGAGAGGTTACATTTTTCTTAAGGAGTCTGTCACATTTTATATGAACTGTAATTGCAGGCTAGGGACAAGGACCCCAGAGACAGTGATGTCAATGTATCTCCTGAATGGGAGTACTAGCCATCACCATGATGCAAGCTCTATTTGTCACTGGATCTCTATCTTAACAGCCTGCATAATGCAGCTGCTGTCAACTGACATTAGGCATTTACAGATTCAGGCTGTTCTATTTCTCGATCTTCAAAGGATTCACCTATCACTGTATTTTAAAAAGTCTCAATAAGTTAGGGACTGACCCTTATCCTTCTGCCAACAAGATGTAATTCCCACGCCTAATCCACTGTACCTTCTTGTTTGAATTCATACTCTCCCTGCCTGTACTCCCCTGTTTCAGTTCAGAAAACAAGTTTGAAATACAGAACATAGAATACCTCCAGTTTAGAAAGTCTGATGTATGCCTCTTAGTTCCCCATACTTACTACATAAAAGGAAATGCTGAACAATTGCATGTACTACCTTAGTTCTGTAAGGTTTCTCTCTAAATATTCAGATCATCGTGTTTGGGGAAGATACTGTGTAAGGTAAGTTTGCAGTCTTGATGCTGATCAATCGCAGGATGCTTTAAATAGATTCTGGACTTACTAGAAAGTTTTGGTTCAAACCAGAGAAATACTGGAGAATGTTGAAGTTTGATACATCTGATTTTGAACTGCAGATACTTGTGGATAGTACTAATATACAAATCTTAGATAATTCAATCTCGTTTCTTAGTAGTTATGGACTCTTATCTTTTCTGTACATCAGAATGTAGCAGATTACTTGAATTCTATGCAGATCTGTCTGCATAATGATTCCAACAGTTTTTATCATTGCAACATATATTCACCTATAATTTTAAAATCTTTATAAAGAGCTTATCTAAATCGTAGTATTCCACCTTGTTAGGTACCTCATAAGCATCTCTAAAAATGGTTTAGTTAGGAAGACCCTCCATATCCTGCTCCGAGAAACCATTGCAGCATACTTAATACTTAGAAGTTCCCAGAAGCTGAAAAGAATGTGAGTGGCTTGCCAGACGTCCAGAAGCTTATCAGTGATGAAGATAGAATATAAAGCCAGCTTTGATTAAAAACCATGTCATGTAGCATTGTGAACATTAAACATGCCAAGAATGTTTCAAGGGTTAGGAATAGACAGGGGAAGAACTCAGTTCAACTTCTGTAGAGACTGAAGGTGATCATGCCCTTGGTCTGCTTCAAGACAATCCCTCGGCCTTAATCAAAACTTCTCTATCGTTCTAAAGATTCCCCAAGTGATTTTACTTTAGTTGTGGAAGAAAAGCCATTTTCTAGAAGTGACACTTCATGTGAAAATACTGCTGGGGAGGAAACATAATGAATCTGATTGTACAGAGAATTAAATGTCTTATAGTCAGGGTCACCATTTAGCCCTGTTTTCTCAAGATATTCCCTTTCTTATGCCTGTTGTCCTCATGTCCTGTCTAGCTTAGCCTTTTAGCACTCAAACGTATTCTGAGTTAGATGGTCACCAAGAATTGTGCCAATCTTTGATGCAGAGCAGGGTCTGACAGAACGACAACAAAAATGAAAAAGTAGAAAACTTGGCTACCTGCTGCTGGACCTGCTATTGAAGAGAAAAACATAATGGACAGCAAAGGGTGAGATTCCCAAAGCTAACTGTCGCTATCACAGTCTTAAGGTTAACCTGGCACTCATTTTTAGTACTCGCTTTTTATACCAGAATTTGTACATGCAACAAGGGTGAAAACTAATTTTACCCATGACAGTGTTCCCACATTTCCAACAGTTCTCCTTGTTACTTAGGTCATTCCTGCTCATCATTCACACTTGAACTCCTGCTTATTTGAAGAACTCCAATTAGATAGAATTCACTGGCATGATCTTAAAGTACAAATTTATCATGGTTGATCTCATAAACCAATGGTTGCATAGTTTTAATGTCTAGACCAAAGATTTTAAGTGCATAGAAAATTACATTAAAAATTTTAAATTGTATATTAATCACATACCTCGATGGAAAATATTTTTTTTCAAAAATCCAGCACACAGAATGAAAATGTCTGAAATATTTCAAAACTTTTTGGCCTAAACATCAAAGTTACAATTACATGTATGTAACTCGGGGGGCAAAATAGCTGCACTAAATTGAACAAAAGAATAGTCTATAGATTTTTATTTTTTATTAATAATCTTGACAAATCACCTATATAGAAAAGGTCATGAAAAATCAAAATAGCCAAAATATACACTATGTTCAATTTTTTTCATAATCAAATCCATATTGTGAGTTTCGATACTAGTGCTAAATGCTGGGGCAAGCATGATGCTGCCGCAAGTGTGTTCTCTTACTGTTAAGCATTTAACAACTTGGTGATAAGCTTCTAAAGCATAGTAAACCATTGTCCATGAATTATGCCAGAGAATTCACCTCATAATACTGCATATAAGCAAACTCAACAACGTGAATGTGAACCAAGCTGAGTGTCTCATATTCAATCACAGCAATAGTCTCTATAAAGACTGGGAAAGATGTGCTAAATATTAAGTATACATAGAACTGGACGTTTACTAAGGTTTGGAATTATGCATAGACAATTATTACATGGGGCATGGTATAATCCAGTTGATTCCTTTATTTTCCAAGTATTCTTAAATGTTGCTATACTGGGTAACTCTTAAAATACAGTGAATGAATCAACACTACCAGAGTTGGAAGATGGTTGTAAAATCTGAGTGGTTATGGAGCCACTCATATCTCCCCTTTCCCTTTGTGAAGTAAGCTGGGGAGATCCCCAGAGTCTCATTAGCAAGTTTCAGGGCCAGGAGTATTCATGGTCAGGGTTCAGGACACAGCTGCCCTGATAAGGATATTTTTGGACCAATTTTTTCGTCTTGGGCTTTAATATTCCCAGTGGACCAATAGCAGTCACTGTGGCTGGTCCCCAGTAGGTAGCCACCATTCTCTGAATTTACTGTGAAATAACAAGCACGGCCCTCCAAGGATCTTGTTCTTATTAAATTATGGACAACCAGGTCTGGGTGAGCATTCAGCACTCTCCATCATACGAATTGCTACTAAATGTTTGCCTTTAATTTTCCCACTGGCTTAACAGTTTTTAAAATAATAAAGATACATTATAAATCAGCTGATGGAAAGCCCTGGCATAAAGCTGGTAATATTTCAAGAATGAGAACTGAAAAATGCATAAGGATATAATGTGGGTTTCATCAGTAAAAATCTGAATTTTCATCGTTTTCCATCCATCCACTGTGGCATGGTTGTGGTGGAATGTACTGAGGGGCCCTGGTGTGAAGTTCCTGTCTACCAGCCAGTGGGCTGCAGCTTCCATCATTTTTATTGTCCTTTGTTCACATACCAAGTAAGTCAAAACTGCTGAGGTCTTAAAACCATTCTGAAAGTGCACCTGTGGTCACACAACACACGTTCATGTGCCTCAATTCTAGGCTCGAAGACAGATGATGTCTTACATTCTTTCAGGGTCTTTCAGAATATCAAACTTTGGCTTACCCAATGTGCCTCTCGGGAAATATTTACGGAATGAATTGATGTCTACTTTGTCCTGTTGGAAAACAGCATAGAACAAATTATACTGTCACTGTTTAAAGAACAATGTTCCTCCTTGGGGAAGTTTCCTTAAGCCTCATTTTCAACTGTAGAATGGTCTAGTATCTTACACAGTTGTTTGGAAATGTAAAATTTACGAATCAGTTATTAATGTTCTTACTGCTATTTGCAGGTGAATGCATATACAAGTAAAGCCATTTTTCTAATTTGGTACACACCTAAATTTTTTGGCTCAATTCTAATTTGTGGTGTTTAATTCTGGAGGACTTGTTTGGATGAAGGTAATTGGAGCTGTCATATTCCCAGGAATAACTCTAACCAGTGCTGCCTAGTAGAAATCCTAGGGGAGCCACAGAGAATTCTAAATTTTCTAGTAACCACATTAAAAATGTAAAGAATAGGTGAAACTAATTTTAATCTATATTATCCAAATATATCTAAAAGTTACCATAATATAAAGTTTTAAGAAGACGTGTTGCATATATTTTTAACAGGTGTTTGAATTGTTAACTTTGTGCTGATGGCACATCTTGATTTGGAGCAGTCGTGTTTCAGGGGCTCCACAGCTTCATAAGCCTCATGGCTACCACCCTGGATAGTGCAGATCTATATGATGCAGGGAGAAGCTATCCAAATAACTCATAAGTGGTCCTAAATTGTGGTAAAATATTTAACTGATATGGATACATATGCAGAATCTAACTTCAAGTTTGAGAGATCCCTTCTTTTGGGATACACTAGCTCTAATACTTAAACTAGTTTATTTTTTCATAAGTTAAATGGGATTCTAACATTTTAACGAGTTGTATGTTAATAATCGGTAGTTTGCTGCTGCAAGAAGGAAAGCAAACACCACTTGACCCTCAACGTTTTCTCCCATGATTTTTCCTCCTATGAATTCTTGGATGACTTCTCAGAACTCAGCTCTTTTTATTCAACACAGGCTCATTCTGCAATACTCCACCTGATACATGTAAGTTGAGCACTCAAATTTTACAATGTACAAGTGTGTCAAGAATGGTGTAAATTAGGTCAAATAATGCAGTTATTCTTCCATAGGCAAATATATACTCGTGGTGATCTTCAAACTGGATTCTAAGTGTGAGAACTAGAGTCTAGTATAAGGAGAGCAGTGTAGGATGTGGACAATCCTCCTTTCCTCCCCACCACCCTATCCTATTGAATCAGGCTGGTTCCATTCTTATGTCTTATATGCATCCTCACCAATGTAAGGTGGTACTCGAAAGACAGAAATAAATGGTCATGAACAAAAAGATTGTTTGATCATGAACTCTAAATAGTAATCACCAAATCAAGAAAATCCTTAAATGAACAATGATGGTATAATGAGATGTAGCACAATCCTGCTCAGGCAGTTCTCTCAGGGAAATTATGAGCTTCAAGAAATAAGATTTTGACCTTGGTTTCATGACTACATCATAATGTTTTATGTAAATCAGATACCTTTCCAACTTTATCATATCTCTTTCGTGTACCCTACAGAGCTATGGAGCAGAGCAATTATTCCGTGTATGCCGACTTTATCCTTCTGGGTTTGTTCAGCAACGCCCGTTTCCCCTGGCTTCTTTGCCCTCATTCTCCTGGTCTTTGTGACCTCCATAGCCAGCAACGTGGTCAAGATCATTCTCATCCACATAGACTCCCGCCTCCACACCCCCATGTACTTCCTGCTCAGCCAGCTCTCCCTCAGGGACATCCTGTATATTTCCACCATTGTGCCCAAAATGCTGGTCGACCAGGTGATGAGCCAGAGAGCCATTTCCTTTGCTGGATGCACTGCCCAACACTTCCTCTACTTGACCTTAGCAGGGGCTGAGTTCTTCCTCCTAGGACTCATGTCCTGTGATCGCTACGTAGCCATCTGCAACCCTCTGCACTATCCTGACCTCATGAGCCGCAAGATCTGCTGGTTGATTGTGGCGGCAGCCTGGCTGGGAGGGTCTATCGATGGTTTCTTGCTCACCCCCGTCACCATGCAGTTCCCCTTCTGTGCCTCTCGGGAGATCAACCACTTCTTCTGCGAGGTGCCTGCCCTTCTGAAGCTCTCCTGCACGGACACATCAGCCTACGAGACAGCCATGTATGTCTGCTGTATTATGATGCTCCTCATCCCTTTCTCTGTGATCTCGGGCTCTTACACAAGAATTCTCATTACTGTTTATAGGATGAGCGAGGCAGAGGGGAGGCGAAAGGCTGTGGCCACCTGCTCCTCACACATGGTGGTTGTCAGCCTCTTCTATGGGGCTGCCATGTACACATACGTGCTGCCTCATTCTTACCACACCCCTGAGCAGGACAAAGCTGTATCTGCCTTCTACACCATCCTCACTCCCATGCTCAATCCACTCATTTACAGCCTTAGGAACAAGGATGTCACGGGGGCCCTACAGAAGGTTGTTGGGAGGTGTGTGTCCTCAGGAAAGGTAACCACTTTCTAAACAAATTGCATATGCTGCTAGAGACTTGAAATGAAGGATACAAGACTTTATCATTGCCCTTGAGTTTAAATATTCTCTGCCTGGAAACAAGTGACCCACATGCCAGCAACTGTGGGGCATTTATGGGATTTGGAAAGCTGCCTGGGATTTTTAAGGATTTCATTTTTTTGAAAGGTATGAAGGCTCTGAACAATGAACAGTTTGGGCTGGGGTAGGCATAAAGCTGAGGTTTAGTAGTCACCCATGAGCTCTTAACAAGGTGTGTATTCCACTAAAAATCATGGACTAGCCTGTTTCTGGCTCTGCTCAGTCATGGCAAAAACGGTCATCTTCAACTACTTCCCTGACTTCTCTCGACTTTTCCCCTTTAGACAGTCTGTCCATTGACCATTATAAAGAATCAACTCAAATATTATATTTCAAATATAGCAGTCACCATCTTATCCTCAGGCTGTGTTCTAAGTCTTTTGGGGGAAGCCTGAAACCATAGTATAGAACTATAGAACCTGACTGCTGTCAGTCACAACATATTTGCTCATCTTCTACCATAAATGTAATACGTTTTCTTTCTTACCTAAGCACTTATCACACACTGTGGCTGTAGGTTTTGCAGTTTGAGGTGTGACAGCAAAATTACCACAAATGTGTTTTTCCTCCTACACAATTTCAAAGAAGATTCATTCTTACTGTAGATCTTGGCAATCTCAGCATATTTTTCTTGCCAGAACCTCCAGTTAAGAACTTATTAGAATGTGTCTCTGATAATGGTTTGGCTGTTTCCCCACCCAAATATCATCTTGAATTGTAGCTCCTATAATCCCCATGTGTAGTGGGAGGGGCCTGGTGGGAGTTAATTGAATCCTGGGGGTGGGTTTTTCCCATGCTGTTCTCATGATGAATAAGTCTCACGAGATCTGATGGTTTTACAAAGGGTGGTTCCCCTGCACATGAGTCTTGCCTGCTGCCATGTAAGACATGCCTTTGCTTCTCCTTCACCTTCCACCATTGGCTGTGAGGCCTCCCCAGCCATGTGGAACTGAGCCCACTTAACCTCTTCATAAATTACCCAGTTTGGGGTGTTTTATAGCAGTGTGAAAATGGATTAATAGTCTGTTTTTCAGAGACATGAGCAGAGGGCCAATATCTTTAGAAATATAGAACACTTAAAAATTAAGTCTTATAGGAGCTAGCAAGGTTTTGCCAAATACAGATTCACCCAAAAATGTCAAGTGGCACTTTGGAATGGAGTGAGAGTGGGCAGGCAGAATTATCTGAAATTAAAACAATCTAAACTCCAAACTGTGGGAGTCAGTCTTGGCTTGTAGCAACCAAGTCTATACCTACTGATGATATAAAAAGGATTACTTCCTGAAGAGAGTTAAAGGGAAGGAAAAGAGAAAAAGTGAATAAGAAACATGGAAGATTGAGACACCACAAAATACCTCTTGTAAAAAGTCTAAATTATATAAGATAACTAAGTTCAACACTAGACAAAGTATTGTGACACATGAACATGAGTTAGAAACTAATACCAATCAATACACTGTTCACAGGTCTGTTTTTTCCTTAAGTTGGGCTTGTATTAACAATTTTCCAAACTGATACAGCAGCACTTCTCAAACGCTTTCATGACATAACTATAAAAATTAGTGATATGGCACCTTGAGGAAAACTGATGTGGCTGTTGACAGCAAAATCAACTCCCCTGTGGCTGTAGCCAAATCGGGCACTGAAGACCAATCCAGGGTTGAGAGGATCAATATTGGTTGTAACCCATTTGTGGCTCTGGAGAAAGACACATCACACCAGAGGGAAGAGTGTATCCAATCAATCCAATAGTTAGTTGGAGAACTTTATTTATGGATGACATATAAAATATTCAGGAATTATTGAATAACATTCTAAAGGCTGAAAAAGGGTATGGGTTTTCTGCTTATCTGCAACAGAGGGTATAAGGTATGTGTCCAATGGATTTGTGATGACTAGCAATCATAAGTAATGTTGCCCATTAGCTGACTTAATGCATGAAAAGCATTCAATGATGTTGTTTGGGAAGCAGAACTTTAGTAATAAGACCACCTTCTTTTCCCCATTAGAGAAATAAATGTTAGGAAGTTCAATTTTCCTAATGTTTAAATATCTTAATGTGCTCTGGTGAAAACTTTAGAAAATGCATAACTTGTATTACCCTCACTTTTTTCTCTACCAATTGCGTTATTTCCATCATTTTTCTTATGTCTCCTTTATTCCTACTGAGGTCAATATTCTTCTGTAGTACACGTAAGACAAATAATTCTGAAAAACACTTAACCTAAGTGACAAATGCCACTTTTGTGAAAATAGAAGATAGGAGAAAGTAGAAGGAAAATCTCTTGGGACCCAAACTCACTAAGCCAAAGGGAAAAGTCAAGCTTGGGAACTCTGTCATGCAAAACTATATTCCATATCTGTTCCCGACTGTATGGCTACAGATTCCATACTGTTCCGGAATGGACAGCTACACAGGTAGAAGGCTACATACCTCCCCAAGGGACCTCCCTCACAATCTGCTAGCAAGGAAATTCCTTGCTGGCCCAAAGATCTTTACCCGAAAACCATTCTCTTGAATTGTCATGCTGACAATGTAAATGAATGGCTTATCTTGACAGGCAGTGGACAAAGACAGGCCTGGGAGTCATCCCTCCACTCCCCTGAAACAAATGCATATTTGACTGCTTCCTCTACTGTGTACCTTATCTTATATACAATCCAGATTCACTGAGCAGGAGATGAACGCCCAGTTGAGTGTTCCTCTAAACCCTCTCCTGTCACATCTAAAGTGCGAATTCAGTCAACACTGATTAAAGCCTGCAAAGAAGGAAACTACTTCATTTATTCACACTTCCTTTTTCTTTTTTTTCCTCTAATGCCCACTGTTTCCCTTTTAAATATTGAAGTCTCCCAACCGTCTTTGGAAGAAGCACAAATCTCAGATGCTCCTGTCATATTGTGTTCCTTTTTCCCAGGTGCATCCTCAACCTTGGCACCAGAAACATCTACATTGATTGAGACTTGGCTCCAATGCTTTTTGGTTCACACTTATTTATAACTTTAAAGATTTCTCCCCAAACAAGAGGCCAGTGACTTTTGAGAAAGAGCTTTTTTAGTTTGTCATAGCCTCTATTTCTAAAGAAATTTAAAATCTAATTTTCAATTTAGAGCGAGGCTCTTATCCCCACATCACTGCCTTTAAAATCTCTCTGGAGAGATGCCAAGATTCAGTAAGACATTTTCATGATGAAATACCAAGAAACGATTCCAGTCCTTCACTTGGGAAAACAATGCACCCTCTGCAAGAAAGGACAGGCTGCTTCTAAAGTTCATGGTAAACCCAGTCAACTTGGATTAATTGCTAACCCAGGAATTCTTCCTGGGGGATGTGGGACTCTATTAGTGAAAAGACTTTTTGACCTAGCCTCACCCCTACACAATGTATTTAATAAGAAGTCTGACATTCCACTACTGCTTTAGAAAGACTTGGACCCAGCTTCTCTGAGGTAGGATCCTTAGATCTTCATGAAAAACAGAACATCACCCAGATACTGGGATGTTTTCTTCAGGTATTACTCTGTAACTATTAGAAGGCCACGTTACTACTGTGAGCTTATCTGCTAATAACTGAGGCAGTGGTCTTCTCAAGATTAAGCATAAATAACATATATTCACTATCTGGCAAGCAGACAACTGGAAAAGGGCATTTAGCATGAAACGTGGGAAGCTAAGGGAAATGTAATAGTTTAGAAGAACATGAATAGATTTACTGAAGGAAAATGGCATGTAAGAGCCGACAGTTAGAAGAATGTGCTTGGTATTCACAATGAGAAAGTTTCAGAATTAATTGGTAGCAGGGGTGCATACTATTGGATAAGCATAGATTGCCCTCTGAATATTTTGTTAAAATTTTAATTTACATTTTAAGTTAAATGATTAATTGCTCCGTTCATATGCATTTAGGTGTGGCTGAAGACTTCATGCTTGGAGGGAAATCATGATTTTTTTTTTTCATTTTAACCTCCTTCCTCTTTTATTGAACCCATAAGGCATCCACGTGTGCCTTAAGATCTTTTTTTTTAATAAAACTATTAGAGGTCTCCTAGAAGCCATCTTAGCATGGCATATAAAAGCCTGTTGAGCTGAGTAACTGGAGCCCAGGGGGAGATGTGGACATGTTGGAAGCTCAGGCTGTAGGGGTATAATAATGAGTGCATTGTGTTTATAGTTGCAGGTGTCTGCCCCTTGCTTCAGCTCACCTCACCTCACCACTGCTGTTCCTGTGTAATCCTCCATGCCCTTACTCTCCATTTCCTCTTCCACAGTATTAGTAGGGTGGACTAGATGGGCTCGCCTCGCCTCACCTCGCCTCTGCTGCTCCTGTGTAATCCTCCATTCCCTTACTCTCCATTTCCTCTTCCACAGCGTTAGCAGGGTGGACTGGATGGGCCATATGCCAGATCCTTTGATTTCTATTTGCCACCACACGAACTGACACTGCTGCCCAGAAGCATTCCCCTGCACATCCACATCACAGCCCTCCTGCTGGCAGCTTGGAATTTAGACCTTTTACTCTCAATGCTCCAGGAAACCAGATGTACTTCTTTCTTTCTTGTCCATTGGTGATATCCTTGACAATGTAGTTTAGGTAAGTTGGCATGTAGCATTAAAACCTGTATTCTTCAAACTGAACTAACTTCTGGCATAGTAAGTGTTCAGTAAATGTTCACCTACATGCCATTATAGTGCTGATTTTTTTTTTTTTTTTAAAGCCAAGAAAACTTCTATCTTATGCCTAATTTTCCACACTGAAAATTTCCAAATTGTCAGTTGGGATGGGAGGGAAAGTAGACTACTTTTCCATGAATGAAAACAGTTACCATTTAAATAAATAGGCAGATAAAGGGGGGTGGTAACTAAGGCAGTATGTAATTAGAACTGGAGATAAGGTAAGGGAAAAGAGAAATTCACATCATTGGATACTACGTTGCTGTGGAGAGAAGGGGATAAAATCTGATTAATGTAGGAAGCAAGGTCCAAATGCGTTCATTCATAAAAGCAGACGGAGTACAGGAGTAGCTTGTGTAGGTAGAAGAAGAAAAGGAGTTCCTGGCCAAAGCCCACTGTGGCTATGAACACTTATGAGTAGCAATTAATATTAATCTTGCTTTCAAGACTAAAACTGCCAGGTGGATCTTTCATAAGTACCTTATTTCAGCATGTAACTTTCTGACTGAAACAACTCCCATTTGCACCTTATTTCTCGACGCTGAGTTCTGGTCTCCCTGCCTTCACTTTCCAGCCGCACTCCACCCCACACACCTCAGCTCTCCACGGGCTCTTCAGCTGTAGTTAGACTGGACTCTCCCCTCTCTCTTCCACCCCTAGTGCCTGCTAATTCCCATTTGCGAGCCTTTTGACATTATTTACATTGTCTCTGATCATGTCCTCTCTCCTTCAGTCTCGAGTTTCGGAATCAGACCGGTTTCCCTCTCTACTATTGCACTGTTTAACTGAACTGACTCCTGTCTTCTCCTGGTTCTTGTGATCCACTATTTTCAAAGCAGTGATCACTTAGATGCTCTTTAAAAGTTTCATGCTTTAAGATCCTTTCAGTCTCTAGCCCTAGGGTTGAACCTTTGAGGTAAAGAATTCTGACATGGTATTCCTCTCTTTAACACTTTCATTTCCATAGTTTTAGTTAACCTGCAATCCGCCAGGTTGCTATCTACCATGTGTAGAAAATATTAAATGAAAAATCTCAAATTTTAAATTGCCCACCATTTTGAGTAGTGTGGTGGAAATATCATCCCTCTGTGTAGTTGATTCACACTGTCTATGCTACCCCCTGAGTCATTCAGTAGCTGTCTAGGTTATCAAATCGACTGTGGCGGACTCAGTGCTTGTGTTCAAGTAACTCAGTTTTTCTTAATGGCTCCAAAGAGATGGAGTTAGTGAAGCTGGCGATTTAGATGTGCCAAAGAGAGGCTGTAAGGTGCTTGCTTTAACTAAAAAGGTGAAAGTTCTTGACTTAAGGAGAGAGAAACCCTCATAAGCTGACTTTGCCAAGATCTATATTAAGAAAAACTTTATCTTTGAAATCATGAAGGAAAAAATTATGCAAGTTTTGCTGTCACATCAAACTGAAAAAGTTATAGCCACAGTATATTGTCTTAGGTATTCTATTTTATTATTGTTAATCTCTTACTGTGCCTAACTTATAAATTCAACTTGATCATAGGTATGTATGCATGGGATAAAATATGGTATATATATAGGGCTCAGTACTGTCTGCAGTTCCAGATATCCAGTGGGGGTCTTGAAAACTGTCTCCCACTGATAAGGGGAAACTGTACCTTTGTCCACTACTCAAACTGATGCATAGCATCTTCTGGTTTGCTATGACTTCATGTATGTAAAACTTCTAAAGTACCTGGCACACGTAAAGCCCTATTGGTTTATGGTTTGGGGAATACCAAACTTCCTGTTTCTCTTCCTCCGTCTCTTAGTGCCTTCCACACCATTATCTTCTCTCATAAGCTTTAATCAAAGCAGAAAGATCCCAATATACTATCCTTGGCCCCCTTTTTCTCATTCAGGAACAAATAATCGATGACTCTTAGAGCTATGTGGCACTTAGGATTAGTAACATGTTGGTGACATGCCATTCTTTTACTGAAAGAACACTGAGGTCTGGAGAAGTAACTATGCGTGTCATCCCCAGAGCAATTTGACAGCTGAGCAAAGCACAATGGCATTAGCTGTTATTTGTGGCTAAACACCTTTAAAAAGTCCCCAATATATTTTCATTTTTAGAAATCCCCACTTTAGACTTAAAATGATCTGTTTCTATGAGGATTTTTGATATGATACATTAATCAAACTTAACTATGTGCCCCTTAAGAATATTGTCAGTTCTATCAATCTTCATAGCTCACCCAGTGCTAGGTGAGTGTTTTGAACACGGAATGTGTTTGTGCTTCAGGCATTCTGTCTCTAAGGATGGAATGGAAAACCCTTCCCTTTCAAGCTTTACAGGTACGTTGTGTCAAGTGGAGAAGATCAGTTCTGGTTAGCAGCTTTATTGCCACAGAAAGGACACTGGCAGATACTTCTCATAGCTCTAGTCATGCTGAATTCCCGGAAAGGGGTGTCAGAATGAATTGCTCTAAGCTCTTCTCCCTGGTAGAAGAACCTGTGACTTCTCTTGGAGATCTCTTCAATTTTCGGTGAGTCACCAATTGTTCTTGATTTCTATGGCTTCTCCCAGAACAACTCCAGGGCTGTTGTCCTGAAACATACAGCTTTGATCACCTGGCACCCTGCAGAGATTCTCCTTTCCCTCTTCTCCATGTGGCAGACCACAGGTAGAATAAATGCCTCTTGGCGAGCTCACTCATCCCTCATCCATCAGCCCCAAGTGTGCAGATAACAGATGTGGAGCTCCTGTGCTTGGTGTCCTCCACCTCTCGGCTTGATCTTCCCACCCTCCCATTCCTGCCAGATGATTATGTTGCAACACTGGGTGATGTTATAACTGGTCCTGGGGGTCAGGGGTTCTGGGTTATGTTCTAATCTGCACTGGGGAGAAATCATTCACCGCCTTGAAGAGCCTGAAGCTTTGATCACGCAAATAAAAGCTTTTTCTTTTTCTTTTTCTTTTTCTTTTTTTTTTTTTTTGGAAAGACTAGTTGATGAAGGGGAACCTAAGTGTCTTAGAGTGGAGAATGATGATAGTGAGGGAAAGATGACCTGATGGGGAATGGAATCTAGGATCTTGTATGTGTGAATAAGTCAAACCACACATCGTAATGCTAAATAGCATCAACTCTAATGTTAAAATGTAGATGCTCGGAACTGATGTAAACAGAAGTAACTGATGACATGTTTTGTCCATAATGCAGATATTTTCCCTGTCTACTTGCAATGCCCAGTAGCCTATGGAATAACATTAGGCATGCATTTGAACATGTCACATTTGGTTCTAAATATTGGCTTCATTGAAATGGGTGAATTGCTCGTTTGTGCCAAGCAGTGTAGTTCTGCTCTTTAGCAGGGCCTTTTCCCTACACATATCCCCACCCACTCACAGATGCACACACCACACATACCATGCTCACACACTCACATATGAACACACTACACACACATGTACACACAACGCTCACACTCACAAGGAACCTCTTTTTTTTTTTTTAACACGGTCTCGGTTGTATAAAAATGAGGTGGCTAAAATCATATCTTTCTCCTGTTTCAGCTTTTTTACTCTCCTCTTCTGGGATCCTACAGTAAGATAAGATCTAGGAGTTGAAAACGTTCTTATCCTTTTATCATAGACATTTGAGGCAATAGTGTTTTACCTCCTCTTTGAATACCTTGTGGAGTCTGATTATTTACATGAAACAAAATGCTCTGGTTCATGTTCTGATTCAAAAGTAATTGGTTATTTTCTTAGGTCATTTTCGTTTGTCTCATTCTTGCCTATTTCAGTTCCTCAAAGTATATTTTTAAAAGGATGATTGTCAGCTAACCTAACACTATAGTAATTAATGTATAATATCCATAATGCATTTAACTGAAACAATAGATGTGGGTCAAGACAAACTTACTGTCTGCGAGATTAATATTTTTAATTTCCAACAAGCTATTGCAAAAGCCACTGCAAATGGAATTGTATATTTAAATAGTCTCTTGACCCATGATTCGAAGCTGTGGCTATCACAAGAAAATCTTTCACCTGTTAGAGAAGGCAAAAGTAGCTGACTTTTATCACGCTTGACAGGAGTTAATATTTGATGCTCATGTATTTTTTTCTCCTCAACCAAGGTGTGACAAACTGAAGTTTCAGCACAGACCAACACAAAAATTGCTTTTTTTTCTTTCTCCCTTTGGATGTTTATTCATCTTTTAGGCCTATTACTCATATCTCCATCTCTGAGCACTAAGAAGGAAAACTCTACTGTTGCTATTGTTTTTGCTTCAACATAAGGAGAGTTTATTCCTTGATGCTTCAGGGACTGTAAATTTTGACTATTCTAGAACCAAAAGATTCAGATACATTTGTAGTATTGGTGGCCAAAACGTTTGACAGAAAACAAGTTTCTTCAGTAATCCTGTCACTAAAATGAGAAGAAATACACCATAATCTAATAAAGAAAAATTCATCCCTCAGTATTCCTGAACATATAAAAGGGACACACATTCATATTACTCAAAAAAGCATGAGAATTCATTCCATTGATTCAAGGAATGTTTGATACTGCTGTGTCGCGTCTGAGTTCAGAAATTTCTTTACCATCTATAGTTTTTGTTTTCTTGTTTTGTTTTTTGAGACAAAGTCTTACTCTTGTCCCCCAGGCTGGAGTGCAATGGCACGATCTCAGCTCACTGCAACCTCCGCCTCTCAAGTTCAAGCGATTCTCCTTCCTCAGCCTCCTGAGTAGCTGGGATTGTACAGGCACCTGCCACCATGCCCGATTAATCTTTGTATTTTTAGTAGAGATGAGGTTTCACCATGTTGGCCAGGCTGGTCTCGAAGTCCTGACCTCAAGTGATCTGCCTGCCTCGGCCACCCAAAGTGCTAGGATCACGGGTGGGAGCCACTGCACCCGACTGTAGTTATTTTTACTTATAAACATGAAGGATCAGTAAAATGGTAGAGAAATAAACTTGAGGAAAAAACCCAAGTAGCAGTGGATTACTAGGATGATATAATATTAGGACAGGTTCAGGATGCCACTCTGTCAGAGAAACTCTAACATTTTGGCTAAACAATATTTTAAGATGAGGTCATGATTGAATTCTATGATGCAGCATCTAAATTTTAGCAGAATTCATTGTCAACTGGAAAGACCACCAGGATAACGAAACTAAAGCCCTGTTCTGAAGCAGTTTGTGGTGGTTGTCCTGCCAGATTTATGATCCCCAAATTATTCTGTGAGAACAAATAGACACAAGTTCTCACAGCAGTCCATGCCTAAAAGATGAACTCCTTTTGCAGGACAAAAGTCTAACCACAAGACAGTGTGGCTCCTGACCCCAAATGAGGTCATCTGTACTGCTTTGATGTTCCTGACTTTCATAAAGCTGTTCAGTAACAACAGCAGCCAAAAAAGTCAGTTATCTAGATGTTTTCTATCAATTTAAGTCACAAATAGACGTCTGTGGATGACTCTAGTACAATCATCTCGATGGAGATGCAGAGAGCAATTTAAATTCAAATCATTTCGCTAGGCGAAATGGGAAATAAGGCACAGTAACCACCCTCAGAAAACTTTCAATCTAAAAGTGATAAGATTATGAAATGTATTCAGAAGATAGTTCAAAGTAAAAATCAGATTCTAAACCAGGTACTGTATGAATTACATTTACATCTCACATCCAGCCTGTAGAGTACAGAACTATGATGACCTTTCACAGATGATGAAATTGAGTTGAGATTAATTTTCTGTCCAATATCATACAGATCATTAATACTGAAACCCAGGATTTCAAATGATCCTGAAGTAGGTGATCTTTTCTTGATCTCACGCTGCTTCTGACATACTATTCCTGGTGGGCTCTTCCTACATATCAGGTCGTTAAATAAGCTGCCAGATTTCTGCCTTTACAGCCCAAGGAGCTTGTCATGGACCATGGGCATGGAGGGTCTTCTCCAGAACTCCACTAACTTCGTCCTCACAGGCCTCATCACCCATCCTGCCTTCCCCGGGCTTCTCTTTGCAATAGTCTTCTCCATCTTTGTGGTGGCTATAACAGCCAACTTGGTCATGATTCTGCTCATCCACATGGACTCCCGCCTCCACACACCCATGTACTTCTTGCTCAGCCAGCTCTCCATCATGGATACCATCTACATCTGTATCACTGTCCCCAAGATGCTCCAGGACCTCCTGTCCAAGGACAAGACCATTTCCTTCCTGGGCTGTGCAGTTCAGATCTTCCTCTACCTGACCCTGATTGGAGGGGAATTCTTCCTGCTGGGTCTCATGGCCTATGACCGCTATGTGGCTGTGTGCAACCCTCTACGGTACCCTCTCCTCATGAACCGCAGGGTTTGCTTATTCATGGTGGTCGGCTCCTGGGTTGGTGGTTCCTTGGATGGGTTCATGCTGACTCCTGTCACTATGAGTTTCCCCTTCTGTAGATCCCGAGAGATCAATCACTTTTTCTGTGAGATCCCAGCCGTGCTGAAGTTGTCTTGCACAGACACGTCACTCTATGAGACCCTGATGTATGCCTGCTGCGTGCTGATGCTGCTTATCCCTCTATCTGTCATCTCTGTCTCCTACACGCACATCCTCCTGACTGTCCACAGGATGAACTCTGCTGAGGGCCGGCGCAAAGCCTTTGCTACGTGTTCCTCCCACATTATGGTGGTGAGCGTTTTCTACGGGGCAGCCTTCTACACCAACGTGCTGCCCCACTCCTACCACACTCCAGAGAAAGATAAAGTGGTGTCTGCCTTCTACACCATCCTCACCCCCATGCTCAACCCACTCATCTACAGCTTGAGGAATAAAGATGTGGCTGCAGCTCTGAGGAAAGTACTAGGGAGATGTGGTTCCTCCCAGAGCATCAGGGTGGCGACTGTGATCAGGAAGGGCTAGCAGGGACTCCCACAGCATCAGAGTGGTGACTGTGATCGGGAAGGATTAGCGGGGACTCCCAGAGCATCAGGGGTGGTGACTGATCAGGAAGGACTAGCAAGGACTAGCGCAAACATCTGCGGTGCTGCGGCCAATAACGCAGCTATTACAGAAAATATGGTATTGGTTCTGAAGAATGTTCAGTGTCACTTTCAGCAATTCAAAATTAACAGGCAAAATCATCCTGTTGCAAGGATTACTTAGGAACAGTAGCGAAGTTGGTGAGCATCTCCGCATTAGTCAACTTTGTTCAACTGGATTCACAAACATTTCCAGAGGGCATTCTCAGTCAAGTAGCCCTACAAACCATTCATGGCACGCCAAGCAGCTCTTGGAAGTGCCCATGTTAACATGTGACCATGAGTCCTTCCTGTCTGTATTGCTAACGTGTGATCATGAGTCCTGCCTGCCTGTATTGCTGACGTGTGATCATGAGTCCTGCCTGTCTGTATTGCTAACGTGTGATGAGTCCTTCTGTGTCTGTATTGCTAACGTGTGATCGTGAGTCCTTCCTGTCTATATTGCTAATGTGTGACCATGAGTCCTGCCTGTCTGTATTGCTAACGTGTGACCATGAGTCCTGCCTGTCTGTATTGCTAACGTGTGATCATGGGTCCTGCCTGTCTGTATTGCTAACGTGTGATCATGGGTCCTGCCTGTCTGTATTGCTAACACGTGATTGAGTCCTGCCTGTCTCTATTGTTAACCTGTGATCATGAGTCCTGCCTGTCTGTCTGTATTGCTGACCAACTTTTGAATGGAAATTGGAAGGAGCATTTGCCACCTCCTTGATGACTTAATTTCAAACATTCAATACAAGTAAAATATTTTCTAGTGCTAAATGTGTAGCAATTTTATTAGAAAACATTTAGGAAGGTGATACTATTTTTGGTTCCATGTTCTTAGTTACATTTTATGAATGTTATCACTTACCTCTGAAATTAAATACTTGCCCTGCCTTTATTCACATGGAGTCCAATATATTCCTGGAAATATTGATTCATTGATTGAAAATTGACTCTGCCATTAAGATTGTTACATGGCCAAAAACCTACAAAACTGCCATTTATGCTCAAATTGTTAATAGATAAATGTAGAATGAATAAACCAAGACATTTTATTAGCTAACTTAGTTCCCGTGGAATAAGTTGCTCAATTTTCTTATTCTCAACATCTTCATTGATATGCTGAAGACAAGTATTTTTGTAATTAGTTGGAGTTAGGTGTGGTGCTTTGATAGATGTGTAACTTTGGTGGAATACTAACTAAGCAAAGACTACACTGACCCCACCATTCATGTAACTTTAGTTTCTCCTGTGTGTAAGGTCCTGAAATATGAGACATAAAAAATATTGACGGACCTGGTGTTTATTTTCTTTGTTGATACGAGGCTTAGAAAACATTGGACAGAGCGGTTACATAGTTGACAAAGACTAAGCAAAGGTTACTCAGCCTTATGTTGTTCTAGTGTCAACACAGATAGAAGGAAAAATGTTTCCTCCATTGTTGCTGACGTAGATAAAGAATATTCCCTTCAATATGCTAACCCCTAGGTGGCTTTTCATTCAGAAGGTTCCTAATAATTTGATCTTTACCCTGAAATCAAACACATGGAAAAGAGATGGAAGAATGTCCTGGAGGGATTAAGTGAAGAAACAGACCAGGATTCATTTATGAAATATCCTCGGTGTTATTTCAATTCAGCTCCATTCACATTTTATTCTTTTGTGTCTCTGCACTAATGCCCTCCATATTCTCCATTCTCCTGCCTTAGCTAGCACCTTCTCGATCTTCCCTCTACAAAACTCCTTCAGTTCACATTGCATTTGTGCTCTATCCTGGGATATGTGTTTTCTTTCCCATTTCCTCAGTTGCTATGTATTAAAAATTAGGACTTTTATTCTTATGTTTCCAAGATTAATTCTTTGCATATTTAACTAGAATATTTAACTCTAACATTGACAGACATTTCAAGAGTATACCTGAAGCAATAAGCGAAATGCATTTTGACAAGTTTCTAGGGATATCATGGACATTAGTGATCGGGGCATGGAAGGAGGTGACTTATTCAATGTTTGAGTCTATTTAACAAATTTCATGGTGGTTACATCAACGTGTTCTTTTCCTGGTGATTTATCAATCTTTCCACTGTTGATGTGTGTGCTTTTCTGTTAGGCTCTACTTTAATACAACTTAAAAAAAAATTTTAATCTCATTTTACACATGGTGTGTATCCACTCCCTTCACACATAAAACTAGTCCCACTGTAAAAGGGAGTGACCAAGGATTTTTCCCCAGTCATCTCACCAAATTCTTACATAAGGTAATTTGTGGTCACCAGATTTGCTTCTTTATTAAAATAATATATAAATTTTAATATTGAGTAATACACATCATATTTAAGTTACTAAATTATCAGTTGTATACCTGAAACATGGCATGCACTAATCCAGGTAATGAGGAAAAAATAGAAGACTGTCCCTAGTTTTGAAAACATTTAACTACATTACCTGATTTTGATTCTGATCTTCACAAATTCTTATAAAGTATTTAGAGAAAGAATTAGCCCCATGGGAGATGAAGAAGCTGATGTTCACAGCAAATTATTGCCCCATTCCAGCAAGAGGCAGATGGGGCTTCAGAACCACGTCTTCTAACCTCTGGTCTGGTGTTTTGTGCCAAGCCATGATACTGATAAACAATTTACAAATGAGAGAAGTGGCTGGGCATGGTGGCTCATGCCTGTAATCTCAGCACTTTGGGAGGCCGAGGCAGTTGGATCACTTGAGGCCAGGAGTTCGAGACCAGCCTGGCCAACATGGCGAAACCCTGTCTCTACTAAAAATACAAAAAATTAACTGGGCGTGGTGGCACATGCCTGTAATCCCAGCTACTTGGTAGGTGAGGCAGGAGAATCGCTTGAACTCAGAGTGGAGGTTACAGTGAGTCAAGATTGTGCCACTGCACTCCAGCCTTGGCAACAGAGCAAGACTGTCTCAAAAACAAAACAAAGGGGAGAAGCACATGGCACAATGTG